>NC_000006.12:120525335-120828365 GCF_000001405.40 Homo sapiens | reverse complement strand
TTCTCATTAATCAAGAGATCAAATGACCAAAACATGAGTTAGGATAGAGAACACTTGAGTTATGTAATTAACAAGCATGAGTTAATATTTGACTTAGTAATAATGTAATGCTTAAGGTAAAATAATTTATGGCATACTTTTGTGAGCAAGAGGAGTGCCACAATTTATTATGTTGGGACAGTAACCATAAACTGGGGATTAATGTAGGGCAACTGGTCACATGGAAACCCTTACCTTTATAGAACTTGCTCTCTAATAATTATAGAAGAAACAATCCTCTCAAACACACACACAGGACATTTTTTAAAACATGACCATTAACTTGGCCACAATCAAGCATCAATGTATTTTTAGAAAGCATTATTATATAACACTAGACTATGGGGTGTTTTCTGAACACAGTGATTAGTTTGGAAATTGGGCATTAAAACACATTTTTAAACTGCTCATAGGTAAAAGAATAAATTATAATAAAATTTAAAGCAATTATAACTAAATAATAAAGAATATAGAACATATCAAAATATGTGGGAGACAGCAAAGTTAATACCTTAGAGAAAAATTCTGAACATAAGTAGTAAAATTAGAAAGGAAAGAGCTGAAAATCAATGTGCTAAGCATCTAAATTAAGAAATTAAAGGTGAACAGCTAAATAAATGCAGAGGAAATAGAAGAAAGGGATAAGACAAGAACTAAAATTAATAAAATAAGAGAGCTAAAGTACTTTGTAAAAAACCAAAAGCTGTTTCTTTGAAAAACATAAAAATAGACAAATTTTGTGATATTGCTGAAAAGAAAAAGAGACTAGGTGCCACTGAAATAGTAAGGATGAAAAAAGAGATAGATGTACAGATATAGAAGAGACTGGAGCATAATAAAGGAATATTATGACCAACTTTATGACAAATCTCTTGAAAATGTACCAAAATTATATTTACATATGTGTAATTTACATCTACATCTCTATATATGAAAATACTTTTTAAATGACCAGTCACCGCTAAAGTATTAGCTAAACATAGGCACTGGATATAATGTAGGGAAAAGTTTGAATCATAGAATCTTACCTTATCCAATACTTAGCACAATGAGCAGAAATTATTAAAACTAGAGTATCCATTTGGGTCAAGTTTAACTCCATGTGATAAAAATCCCCAAAGAGTAGTAAGTTTAAGAATGTGCTGCTTTTTTTCTTCCAAATAAAGGAATCCTGGTGGCATCATGTAGCTGTCAGTGACCTAGGCTTATCCCAGATTTTGACTCCTTTATTCCTGTAGTAAAATTCTTGTTCTCATTTTCCAAGACGGTGGTTGGAGTTCTATCCATTACCTTTTTATATTAAGCCAGCAGCAGAATGAAGAGGAGAAAAGAGCAAATGGAACATGCCTGCTATCTTTTAGGGATATTTAGTAGCAAATGCCGGAAAATATTTCTGCCCGTGTTTTAATGGCCAAACTTAGTGACATGAACACACCTGCTTACAACAGACACTGGCAAATGGAATTTTTATTCTGAGCAGCCATGTATACAGCGATAGGACAAATATTCTACGGAAGAAAGAAAGAAGATATAATGAGTGTAGACAACCACTATTCTCTGATATAACCAAGCAATGAACTCTCTGGCAGCATCCAAACATGGAAAGATATTCAACCACATAATATACATTTTGAAAAGTAACTGATTCTGGTATGTTGCAGTTTAGTCTTCATTTCCTTCTGTACCTCTCCAATGCCATAAAGTGGAAAGAGGATGAATTGAAAACATTCTGAGAATTCTTATTATTTCTCAATTTAGAGAAATGCAGATTAATAAGGCAATTAAGTAGCCTGGAGAAAATTTCTGAAAAGCCCCTTAAAAAGACAGTTCTCTCTGCCAACAGCAGGTCTCAGGTTCTCAGCCAAGGCAGGAGAAACCACCAGGGGTCACTGTGTTCCAGGTGAATAGTCAAAACCATAAATGGAATCTTCCGTAGGAATAATATACACCTGAACTCAGTGAAATCAATTCTACTAAAAGACACTTAACACAATCTCAGCAGACAGAGCAGAGACCTGACTATCCGAAAATGACTGCACTCAAACAAATAGAGCTTTTTGTTGTAAACTGCTCAACCTAAAAAATCTAAAAAGTACATGTAATAGCAAAACCCCAGTTCTCAAACTGTAGTTCAGAGAGAGTGCCAACCAGATATCATGTAAGCCTGAGTAGTGACAAGAAAAATTCACCACATTTTGTAGGGGAAAACAGAAATCCTGGATAAAGCTGCCAATATTAAGCATTGAAGAAGAAAATACGTAGCCTAGCAACTAAACAAACTTTCTTCTTTTTTTTTTTTTTGTTTGAGACGAAGTCTCGCTCTGTTGCCCAGGCCGGAGTGCAGCAGTGGCTCACTGCAAGCTCCGCCTCCTGGGTTCACGCCATTCTCCTGCTTCAGCCTCTCCGAGTAGCTGGGACTACAGGTGCCCGCCACCATGCCTGGCTAATTTTTTGTATTTTTAGTAGAGACGGGGTTTCACCATGTTAGCCAGGATGGTCTCGATTTCCTGACCTCGTGATCTGCCCGTCTTGACCTTCCAAAGTGCTGGGATAACAAGCATGAGCCACCGCGCCCGGCCCAAACTTCCTACAGAAAAATGAAGAAAAGAAAAAGACAGAGATCCCAGAGTGCAAGTGAGCATTACCCAAAGAAAAGTAAAACACATATGAGTAGGTTATTTCTGCTTAGAACTTATAAAGCTTGGTTGGGCACAGTGGCTCACGCCTGTAATCCTAGCACTTTGTGAGGCCAAGGCGGGAGGATGGCTTGAGCCCAGGAGTTCAAGACCAGCCTGCACAACATGGCAAAACCCCATCGCTACAAAAAATACAAAAATTAGTCCGGTGTGGTGGTGTGTGCCTGTAGTCCCAGCTACTTGGGAGGCTGAGGCTAGAGGATCACTTGAGCCCAGGAGGTCAAGGTTGCAGTGAGCCGTGATCACCACCGCACTCTAGACTGGGTGACAGAGCAAGTCCCTGTCTTAAAAAAAAAGTTATAAAACTCATCTTAATGTAATAACTCAATGATGTAATAATATTATAGAATGGCCTAATTATAGATCTGACAAACACATTTGATGTATGATAGAATAGATTATAGATAGATAGAATAGATTATACATAGATAGATAGAATAGATTATAGATAGATAGAATATTGCTCAAAACTGAATCCCTAATTTGCAGGAAAGCCATGAATATTGAGAATAAATTAAGAAGAAAGAGGTGAAGTGATTAAATAAGTTAGAAAGAAAACAGAGTAGCCAAATAATGATTATCAGAGTCCCCAAGGTAGAAAATCCCCCCAAATTAAGAAAAACTATGAACAAAAACGTAATTTTAAAAGTTCCCTGAAGTAAAAGGAGAACTGAGCTTGAAAATCAAAGGAACTTGTATTATACTATGAAATCTTGGTATAAAATCATCAATATTAACACATATTCTTTTTTTTAATTTTATTATTATACTTTAAGTTTTAGGGTACATGTGCACAAAGTGCAGGTTAGTTACATATGTATACATGTGCCATGTTGTTGTGCTGCACCCATTAACTCGTCATTTAGCATTAGGTATATCTCCTAATGCTATCCCTCCCCCATCCCCCAACCCCACAACAGTCCCTAGTGTGTGATGTTCCCCTTCCTGTATCCATGTGTTCTCATTGTTCAATTCCCACCTATGAGTGAGAACAAGTGGTGTTTGGTATTTTGTCCTTGCGATAATTTGCTGAGAATGATGGTTTCCATCTTCATCCATGTCCCTACAAAGGACATTAACTCATCATTTTTTATGGCTGCATAGTGTTCCATGGTTCATATGCGCCACATTTTCTTAATCCAGTCTATCATTGTTGGACATTTGGGTTGGTTCCAAGTCTTTGCTATTGTGAATAGTGCTGCAGTAAATATACATCTGCATGTGTCTTTATAGCAGCATGATTTACAATCCTTTGGGTATATACCCAGTAAAGGGATGGCTGGGTCAAACGGTATTTCTAGTTCTAGATCCCTGAGGAATCACCACACTGACTTCCACAATGGTTGAACTAGTTTACAGTCCCACCAACAGTGTAAAAGTGTTCCTATTTCTCCACATCCTCTCCAGCACCTGTTGTTTTCTGACCTTTTAATGATCGCCATTCTAATTGGTGTGAGATGTATCTCATTATGGTTTTGATTTGCATTTCTGTGATGGCCAGTGATAATGAGCATTTTTTCATGTGTTTTTTGGCTGCATAAATGTCTTCTTTTGAGAAGTGTCTGTTCATCTCCTTTGCCCACTTTTTGATGGGGTTGTTTGTTTTTTTTTTCTTGTAAATTTGTTTGAGTTCATCGTAGATTCTGGATACAAGCCCTTTGTCACATGAGTAGGTTGCAAAAATTTTCTCCCATTCTGTAGGTTGCCTGTTCACTCTGATGGTAGTTTCTTTTGCTGTGCAGAAGCTCTTTTTTTTTTTATTTTTTATTTTTTATTATTATACTTTAAGTTTTAGGGTACATGTGCACATTGTGCAGGTTAGTTACATACGTATACATGTGCCATGCTGGTGCGCTGCACCCACTAACTTGTCATCTAGCATTAGGTATATCTCCCAGTGCTATCCCTCCCCCCTCCCCCCACCCCACAACAGTCTCCAGAGTGTGATGTTCCCCCTCCTGTGTCCATGTGATCTCATTGTTCAATTCCCACCTATGAGTGAGAATATGTGGTGTTTGGTTTTTTGTTCTTGCGATAGTTTACTGAGAATGATGATTTCCAATTTCATCCATGTCCCTACAAAGGACATGAACTCATCATTTTTTATGGCTGCATAGTATTCCATGGTGTATATGTGCCACATTTTCTTAATCCAGTCTATCATTGTTGGACATTTGGGTTGGTTCCAAGTCTTTGCTATTGTGAATAATGCCGCAATAAACATACGTGTACATGTGTCTTTATAGCAGCATGATTTATAGACCTTTGGGTATATACCCAGTAATGGGATGGCTGGGTCAAATGGTATTTCTAGTTCTAGATCCCTGAGGAATTGCCACACTGACTTTCACAATGGTTGAACTAGTTTCCAGTCCCACCAACAGTGTAAAAGTGTTCCTATTTCTCCACATCCTCTCCAGCACCTGTTGTTTCCTGACTTTTTAATGATTGCCATTCTAACTGGTGTGAGATGGTATCTCATTGTGGTTTTGATTTGCATTTCTCTGATGGCCAGTGATGGTGAGCATTTTTTCATGTGTTTTTTGGCTGCATAAATGTCTTCTTTTGAGAAGTGTCTGTTCATATCCTTCACCCACTTTTTGATGGGGTTGTTTGTTTTTTTCTTGTAAATTTGTTTGAGTTCATTGTAGATTCTGGATATTAGCCCTTTGTCAGATGAGTAGGTTGCGAAAATTTTCTCCCATTTTCCAGGTTGCCTGTTCACTCTGATGGTAGTTTCTTTTGCTGTGCAGAAGCTCTTTAGTTTAATTAGATCCCATTTGTCAATTTTGTCTTTTGTTGCCATTGCTTTTGGTGTTTTAGACATGAAGTCCTTGCCCATGCCTATGTCCTGAATGGTAATGCCTAGGTTTTCTTCTAGGATTTTTATGGTTTTAGGTCTAATATTTAAGTCTTTAATCCATCTTGAATTAATTTTTGTATAAGGTGTAAGGAAGGGATCCAGTTTCAGCTTTCTACATATGGCTAGCCAGTTTTCCCAGCACCATTTATTAAATAGGGAATCCTTTCCCCATTGCTTGTTTTTCTCAGGTTTGTCAAAGATCAGATAGTTGTAGATATGCAGCATTATTTCTGAGGGCTCTGATCTGTTCCATTGGTCTATATCTCTGTTTTGGTACCAGTACCATGCTGTTTTGGTTACTGTAGCCTTGTAGTATAGTTTGAAGTCAGGTAGTATGATGCCTCCAGCTTTGTTCTTTTGGCTTAGGATTGACTTGGCAGTGTGGGCTCTTTTTTGGTTCCATATGAACTTTAAAGTAGTTTTTTCCAATTCTGTGAAGAAAGTCATTGGTAGCTTGATGGGGATGGCATTGAATCTATAAATTACCTTGGGCAGTGTGGCCATTTTCATGATATTGATTCTTCCTACCCATGAGCATGGAATGTTCTTCCATTTGTTTGTATCCTCTTTTATTTCCTTGAGCAGTGGTTTGTAGTTCTCCTTGAAGAGGTCCTTCACATCCCTTGTAAGTTGGATTCCTAGGTATTTTATTCTCTTTGAAGCAATTGTGAATGGGAGTTCACTCAGGATTTGGCTCTCTGTTTGTCTGTTATTGGTGTATAAGAATGCTTCTGATTTTTGTACATTGATTTTGTATCCTGAGACTTTGCTGAAGTTGCTTATCAGCTTAAGGAGATTTTGGGCTGAGACAATGGGGTTTTATAGATATACAATCATGTCATCTGCAAACAGGGACAATTTGACTTCCCCTTTTCCTAATTGAATGCCCTTTATTTCCTTCTCCTGCCTGATTGCCCTGGACAGAACTTCTAACACTATGTTGAATAGGAGTGGTGAGAGAGGGCATCTCTGTCTTGTGCCAGTTTTCAAAGGGAATGCTTCCAGTTTTTGCCCATTCAGTATGATATTGGCTGTGGGTTTGTCATAGATAGCTCTTATTATTTTGAGATACGTCCCATCAATACGTAATTTATTGAGAGTTTTTAGCATGAAGGGTTGTTGAATTTTGTCAAAGGCCTTTTCTGCATCTATTGAGATAATCATGTGGTTTTTGTCTTTGGTTCTGTTTATATGCTGGATTACGTTTATTGATTTTCGTATGTTGGACCAGCCTTGCATCCCAGGGATGAAGCCCACTTGATCATGGTGGATAAGCTTTTTGATGTGCTGCTGGATTTGGTTTGCCAGTATTTTATTGAGGATTTTTGCATCAATATTCATCAAGGATATTGGTCTAAAATTCTCTTTTTCTGTTGTGTCTCTGCCAGGCTTTGGTATCAGGATGATGCTGGCCTCATAAAATGAGTTAGAGAGGATTCCCTCTTTTTCTATTGATTGGAATAGTTTCAGAAGGAATGGTACCAGCTCCTCCTTGTACCTCTGGTAGAATTCGGCTGTGAATCCATCTGGTCCTGGACTTTTTTTGGTTGGTAAGCTATTAATTATTGCCTCTATTTCAGAGCCTGTTATTGGTCTATTCAGAGCTTCAACTTCTTCCTGGTTTAGTCTTGGGAGGGTGTATGTGTCGAGGAATTTATCCATTTCTTCTAGATTTTCTAGTTTATTTGCGAGATGTGTTTATAGTATTCTCTGATGGTAGTTTGTATTTCTGTGGGATCGGTGGTGATATCCCCTTTGCCATTTTTTATTGCGTCTATTTGATTCTTCTCTCTTTTCTTCTTTATTAGTCTTGCTAGCAGTCTATCAATTTTGTTGATCTTTTCAAAAAAACAGCTCCTGGATTCATTGATTTTTTGAAGGGTTTTTTGTGTCTCTATTTCCTTCAGTTCTGCTCTGATCTTAGTTATTTCTTGCCTTCTGCCAGCTTTTGAATGTGTTTGCTCTTGCTTCTCTCTTTTAATTGTGATGTTAGGGTGTCAATTTTAGATCTTTCCTGCTTTCTCTTGTGGGCATTTAGTGCTATAAATTTCCCTCTACACACTGCTTTAAATGTGTCCCAGAGATTCTGGTATGTTGTGTCTTTGTTCTCATTGTTTTCAAAGAACATCTTTATTTCTGCCTTCATTTCGTTACGTACCCAGTAGTCATTCAGGAGCACGTTGTTCAGTTTCCATGTAGTTGAGCGGTTTTGAGTGAGTTTCTTAATCCTGAGTTCTAGTTTGATTGCACTGTGGTCTGTGAGACAGTTTGTTATAATTTCTGTTCTTTTACATTTGCTGAGGAGTGCTTACTTCTAACTATGTGGTCAATTTTGGAATAGGTGTGGTGTGGTGCTGAAAAGAATGTATATTCTGTTGATTTGGGGTGGAGAGTTCTGTAGATGTCTATTAGCTCTGCTTGGTGCAGAGCTGAGTTCAATTCCTGGATATCCTTGTTAACTTTCTGTCTTGTTGATCTAGTATTGACAGTGGAGTGTTAAAGTCTCCCATTATTATTGTGTGGGAGTCTAAGTCTCTTTGTAGGTCACTAAGGACTTGCTTTGTGAATCTGGGTGCTCCTGTATTGGGTGCATATATATTTAGGATAGTTAGTTCTTCTTGTTGAATTGATCCCTTTACCATCATGTAATGGCCTTCTTTGTGTCTTTTGATCTTTGTTGGTTTAACGTCTGTTTTATCAGAGACCAGGATTGCAACCCCTGCCTTTTTTTGTTTCCATTTGCTTGGTAGCTCTTCCTCCATCCTTTTATTTTGAGCCTATGTGTGCCTCTGCATGTGAGATGGTTTTCCTGAATACAGCACACTGATGGGTCTTGACTCTTTATCCAATTTGCCAGTCTGTGTCTTTTAATTGGAGCTTTTAGCCCATTTACATTTAAGGTTAATATTGTTATTTGTGAATTTGATTCTGTCATTATGTTAGCTGTTTATTTTGCTCATTAGTTGATGCAGGTTTTTCCAAGCCTCAATGGTCTTTACAATTTGGCATGTTTTTCCAGTGGCTGGTACCGGTTGTTCCTTTCCATGTTTAGTGCTTCCTTCAGGAGCTCTTTTAGGGCCAGCTTGGTGGTGAGAAAATCTCTCAGCATTTGTTTGTCTGTAAAGGATTTTATTTCTCCTTCACTTATGAAGCTTAGTTTGGCTGGATATGAAATTCTGGGTTAAAAATTCTTTTCTTCAAGAATGTTGAATATTGGCCCCCACTCTCTTCTGGCTTGTAGAGTTTCTGCCGAGAGATCAGCTATTAGTCTGATGGGCTTCCCTTTGTGGGTAACCCAACCTTTCTCTCTGGCTGCCCTTAACATTTTTTCCTTCATTTCACCTCTGGTGAATCTGACAATTATGTGTCTTGGAGTTGCTCTTCTCGAGGAGTATCTTTGTGGCGTTCTCTGTATTTCCTGAATCTGAATGTTGGCCTACCTTGCTAGATTGGGGAAATTCTCCTGGATAATATCCTGCAGTGTTTTCCAACTTGGTTCCATTCTCCCCGTCACTTTCAGGTACACCAATCAGACGTAGATTTGGTCTTTTCACATAGTCCCATATTTCTTGGAGGCTTTGTTCATTTCTTTTTATTCTTTTTTCTCTAAACTTCCCTTCTCACTTCATTTCATTCATTTCATCTTCCATCACTGATACCCTTTCTTCCAGTTGATCAAATCAGCTCCTGAGGCTTCTGCATTCTTCACATAGTGTTCCGTTGCTGGTGAGGAACTGCGTTCCTTTGGAGGAGAGGCGCTCTGCTTTTTAGAGTTTCCAGTTTTTATCCTCTGTTTTTTCCCCATCTTTGTGGTTTTATCTACTTTTGGTCTTTGATTATGGTGATGTACAGATGGGTTTTTGGTGTGGATGTCCATTCTGTTTGTTAGTTTTCCTTCTGACAGACAGGACCCTTAGCTGCAGGTCTGTTGGAGTTTGCTAGAGGTCCACTCCAGACCCTGTTTGCCTGGGTGTCAGCAGCGGTGGCTTCAGAACAGTGGGTTTTCGTGAACCAGGAATGCTGCTGTCTGATCGTTCCTCTGGAAGTTTTGTCTCAGATTAGCACCTGGCCGTGTGAGGTGTCAGTCTGCCCCTACAGGGGGGTGCCTCCTAGTTAGGCTGCTCGGGGGTCAGGGGTCAGGGACCCACTTGAGGAGGCAGTCTGCCCGTTCTCAGATCTCCAGCTGCGTGCTGGGAGAACCACTGCTCTCTTCAAAGCTGTCAGACAGGGACATTTAAGTCTGCAGAGGTTACTGCTGTCTTTTTGTTTGTCTGTGCCCTGCCCCCTGAGGTGGAACCTACACAGGCAGGCAGGCCTCCTTGAGCTGTGGTGGGCTTCACCCAGTTCGAGCTTCCAGGCTGCTTTGTTTACCTAAGCAAGCCTGGGCAATGGCGGGCACCCCTCCCCCAGCCTCGCTACCACCTTGCAGTTTGATCTCAGACTGCTGTGCTAGTTATCAGTGAGACTCTGTGGGTGTAGGACCCTCCGAGCCAGGTGTGGGATATAATCTCCTGGTGGGCTGTCTTTCAAGCCCGTTGGAAAAGCGCAGTATTAGGGTGGGAGTGACCTGGTTTTCCAGGTGCCATCTGTCACCCCTTTCTTTTACTATTAAAGGGAACTCCCTGACCCCTTGCAGTTCCCAAGTGAGGCAATGCCTCACCCTGCTTCAGCTCGCGCATGGTGCGCTGCACCCACTGTCCTGCACCCACTGTCTGGCACTCCCTAGTGAGATGAACCTGGTGCCTCAGATGGAAATGCAGAAATCACCTGTCTTCTGCGTCGCTCATGCTGGGAACTGTAGACTGGAGCTGTTCCTCTTCGGCCATCTTGGCTCCCTCCTCCTTCTACAGCATTGTTAACAGATTCTCAGAGGTTGTCCTTTCCTCTTAGTTTTTATAGTGCAATGTTTTCTGCATTTAACTTTGAGCTATTTGCACATTTATGGTTTTTACTGCAGCATTTCCATTTTGAAGAGATTCATGTTAGTCTCTGAATAGGTGTGCTCTCTGCTGTTATTTTTGTAGTTAACAAAGATTAGGCTCCTCTGAACTTGCATAAAGACAGTAAAAATTTCTAAATAGACTCCTGACAAGTTTTTCTTTAAATGTAGTGTGTTTTTTTGTTTTGTTTTTTGTTCTATTGGTGTTTAATTTATGGAGTTTTATTATTTTATGTAATTTAAAGGAAGGAAAGAATAATAGTTGGTGTTAGAAAGTTTGGACATCAAGTAGCCCTGGGTTTTATTCCTGGCTTTCAATAGCTGTTAGCTCTGTGACCTTGGACAACTTTTAAGTTCTTGGGTATTCATTTCATTTAACGGGAGAAATTAATGAGGTCATTTATGTTAAGCACTTAGCAATAGGCCTAGGCCCTCAATAAATGTTAACTGCTCCTCTTGTTGGGAAAGACATAACTAGCACCCCTGAGAAAATTATTAACTGATCTGATCTCCAAATTGCCCATATATCTCTTTCCTGGAATTAATGATGAAAAACTGTCACATATGCAGGCATGAAAAGTTGGTTACCCAAATTTAAGGTTATGTTGAATGACAGAGGTGTGCTTGCCTTATCTCCACCCAACAAGCATATGACTTGTAACACAGTTCTGAATCAATGACTATGTCACCATTAAATATCAGTTGTCACAATGAGTTCATTAGACAGTTCCCTGGGGAGTGCCTGAAGCTGTGAAACCTTTGGCAGGTCAGAATTAGATCCCTCCTGAGAAGGCTTTTGGCTGAGAGAAAGGAAATACTGTCACTCTTCTGAATGGAAATGACACACAGTGAATTACTTTAACTGAGACTGCCAGGCCAGCATAATCTAGTGCAGTGATGTGTCATCATCACTCCTGGAAAATTAACCACAGTTCCACACTTCTGTGACCAAGAGCAAGCTACTCACTCTCTAGAGAATATTTTGGAAAACATAATTGCTTCTTCAAGTATTGTAACAATTTTTCCCCCAGAAGGAGAGTAGAATAAAAAGCTTTATAAATTTATGGGAGAAATGATGAACATTTAGAATAGACTATTATTAACCATTTCATTTTCCTTTTATTTATATTATTTTTTGAATGCCTTTCTTGCCCAATTAACATATTTTCTTCCTTGTTCCTGGGCAAGATGGCCGAATAGGAATGGCTCTCATCTGCAGCTCCCAGAGAGACCAATGCAGAATGTGGGTGATCTCTGCATTTCAAACTGAGTACCCAGTTCATCTCATTGTTACTGGTTAGACAGTGGGTGCTGCCCACAGGAGGTGAGCAGAAACAGGGTAGGTGTCACCTCACCTGGGAGGCAAAAGAGGTTGGGGAACTCCCTTCCCTAGACAAGGGAAGCCTTGAGGGACCGTGCTATGAGGGACGGTGCTATATGGCCCAGATACTACGCTTTTACCATGGTCTTCACAACCCACAGACCAGGAGATTCCTTCAGGTGCTTATACCACAAGGGCTCTGGGTTTCAAGCACAAAACTGGGTAGAGTAGGCCAGACACCGAACTAGCTTCAGGAGTTTTCTTTCATACCCCAGTGGCGCCTGGAATGCCAGCCAGACACAACTGTTCACTCCCCTGGAAAGGGGGCTGAGGCCAGGGAGTCAAGTGGTCTTGCTCAGTGGATCCCACCCCCATGGAGCACAGCAAGCTAAGATCCACTGGCTTGAAATTCTCACTGCCAGCATAGCAGTCTGAAGTTGATCTGGGAGGCTTGAGCTTTTTGCAGGAGGGGTGTCCACCATTACTGAGTTTTGAGTAGGCAGCCTTCCCCTCACAGTATAAACAAAGCTAACAGGAAATTTGGACTGGGCAGAACCCACCACAGCTCCGCAAAGCCACAGTAGCCAGAATGCCTCTCTAGATTCCTCCTGTCTGGGAAGGGTATCTCTGAAAGGAAGGCAGCAGCCTCAGTCAGGGGCTTATAGATAAAACTCTCATCTCCCTGGGACAGAACACCTGGGGAAAGGGGCGGCTGTGGACGCAGCTTCAGCAGACTTAAACATTCCTATCTGCCAGCTCTGAAGAGAGCAGCAGATCTCCCAGCATGGTGCTCGAGCTCTGCTAAGGGACAGACTGCCTTCTCAAGTGGGTCGTGGAACACTGTGCCTCCTGACAGGGAGACACCTTGCAGCAGGGGTTGACAGACACCACATACAGAAGAGCACCAGCTGGACTGTGCTCCTGGTGGGAGCCCCTCTGGGACAAAGCTTCTAGAGGAAGGAGGAGGCTGCAGTCTTTGCTGTTCTGCAGCCTCCACTGGTGATACCCAGGCAAACAGGGTCTGGAATGGACCTCCAGCAAACTCCAGCAGACCTGCAGAAGAGGGGCCTGACTGTGAGAAAGAAAACTAACAGAAAGCAATAGCATCAACATCAACAAAAAGGATGACAACACAAAAACTCCATCCGAAGGTCACTAACAGCAAAGACCAAAGACAGATAAATCCATGAAGATGGGAAAAAAATAGCACAAAAAGGCTGAAAATTCCAAAAACCAGAAGGCCTCTTCTCCTCCAAAGGATCACAACTCCTTGCCAGCAAGGAAACAAAATTGGATGGAGAATGAGTTTGATGAGTTGACAGAAGTAGGCTTCAGAAGGTGGGTAATAACAAACTCCTCTGAGCTAAAGGAGTATGTTCTAACCCAATGCAAAAAAGCTAAGAACCTTGATAAAAGGTTACAGGAATTGCTAACTAGAATAAACAGTTTAGAGAAGAAAATAAATGACCTGATGGAGCTGAAAAACACAGCACGAGAACTTGATGAAGCATACACAAGTATCAATTGTGGAATCAATCAAGCAGAAGAAAGGATATCAGAGATTGAAGATCAACTTAATAAAATAAACCATGAAGGCAAGATTAGAGAAAAAAGAATGAAAAGGAATGAATAAAGCCTCCAGGAAACATGGGACTATGTGAAAAGACCAAACCTACATTTGATTGGTGTACCTGAAAATATTGGGGAAAAAGGAACCAAGTTGGAAAACACACTTCACAGTATTATTCAGGAGAACTTCTCCAACCTAGCAAGACAGGCCAACATTCAAATTCAGGAAATACAGAGAAAAACCACAAAGATCCTCCTCGAGAAGAGCAACCCCAAGACACATAATTGTCAGATTCACCAAGGTTGAAATGAAGGAAAAAATATTAAGGGCGGCCAGGCAGAAAGGTCAGGTTATCCACAAAGGGAAGCCCATCAGACTAACAGTGGATCTCTCTGCAGAAACCCTACAAGCCAGAAGAGAGTGGAGGCCAATATTCAACAGTCTTAAATAAATAATTTCCAACCCAGAATTTTGTATCCAGCCAAACTATGCTTCATAGGTAAAGGAGAAATAAAATCTTTTACAGACAAGCAAATGCTGAGGGATTTTGTCACTACCAGGCCTGTCTTACAAGAGCTCCTGAAAAAAGCACTAAATATAAAAAGGAAAAGCTGGTACCAGCCACTGCAAAAACATACCAAAATGTAAAGACCATCGACACTATGAAGAAATTGCATCAACTAACAGGCAAAATAACAAGCTAGCATCATAATAACAGGCTCAAATTCTCACATAACAACATTAACCTTAAATGTAAATGGGCTAAATGCCCCAGTTAAAAGACACAGACTGGCAAATTGGTTAAAGAGTCAAGACCCATCAGTATGCTGTATTCAGGAGACCCATCTCATGTGAATAGACACACATAGGCTCAAAATAAAGGGATGGAGGAAGATTTACCCAGCAAATGGAAAGCACATAAAAGGAGAGGTTGCAATCCTAGTCTCTTGTAAAACAGAATTTAAACCAACAAAGATCAAAAAAGACAAAGAAGGCCATTACATAATGGTAAAGGGATCAATGCAACAAGAAGAACTAACTATCCTAAATATATATGCATCCAATACAGGAGCACCCAGATTCATAAAGCAAGTTCTTAGAGACCTACAAAGAGACTTAGACTCCCACACAACAATAGTGGGAGACTTTAACACCCCACTGTCAATATTAGACAGATCAACAAGACAGAAAATTAACAAGGATATCCAGGACTTGAACTCAGTTCTGGACCTAGTGGACCTAATAGACATCTACAGAACTCTCCACCCCAAATCAACAGAACATACATTCTTCTCAGCACCATATAGCACTTATTCTAAAGTAGACCACATAATTGGAAGTAAAACCCTCCTCAGCAAATGCAAAAGAATGAAAATCATAACAAATAGTCTCTCAGTTCACAGTACAATTAAATTAGAACTCAGGATTAAGAAACTCACTCAAAACCACACAACTACATGGAAACTGAACAATCTGCTCCTGAATGACTACTTCATAAATAATGAAATTAAGACATAAATAAGTTATTTGAAACCAATGAGAACAAAGACACAATGTACCAAAATCTCTGGGACACATTTAAAGCAGTGTGTAGAGGGAAATTTATAGCACTAAATGCTCACAGGAGAAAGTGAGAAAGATCTAAAATCGACACCCCAACATCACAATTAAAAGAACTAGAGAAGCAAGAGCAAACACATTCAAAAGCTAGCAGAAGACCAGGACCAGATGGATTCACAGCCAAATTCTACCAGAGGTACAAACAGGAGCTGGTACCACTCCTTCTAAAACTATTTTAAACAATAGAAAAAGAGGGACTCCTCCCTAACTCATTTTATGAGGTCAGCATCATCCTGATACCAAAACCTGACAGAGACACAATAAAAGAAAATTTCAGGCCAATATCCCTGATGAACATTGATGTGAAAATCTTCAATAAAATACTGGAAATCCAATTCCAGCAGCAAATCAAAAGGCTTATCCACCACAATTGAGTAGGCTTCATCCCTGGGATGCAAGGCTGGTTCAACATATGCAAATCAATAAATGTAATTCATCACATAAACAGAACCAACGACAAAAATCACATGATTATCTCAATAGATGCAGAAAAGACCTTTGACAAAATCGAACACCCTTTATGCTAAAAACACTCAATAAACTAGGTATTGATGGAACATATCTCAAAATAATAAGTGCTATTTATGACAAACCCACAGCCAATATCATACTGAATGGGCAAAAGCTAAAAGCATTCTCTTTTGAAATTTATCCAATCATCTGTTGGTGGATACTTAGGTCGATTCCTTATCTTTGTTATTTTGAATAGTGCTATGGTCATCCTACAAGTTTATGCATTTTTTAAATATTAATTTCTTTTCCTTTGGGTAGGTACCCAGCAGTGGGATTGCTACATTGAATGGTAGTTCTATTTTTAGTTTTTTGAGAAATTTCCATACTGTTTTCTATACAATTGTTAATAATTTACATTTCCACCAATAGTGTATAAGTGTTCCCTTTTCACCACATTTTAACAACATCTGTTGTTTTTGGTCTTTTTAATGATAGCCATTCTGATTAGGGTAAGATGATATGTCATTGTGGTTTTAATTTGCATTTTTTTGATGATTAGCATTGTTGAACATTTTTTCATATACCTGTTGGCCATTTGTATGTCTTCTTTTGAAAAATGTCTGTTCATGTCCTTTGCCCACTTTTTAATGGGAATATTTGGAGTTTTTGTTGTTATTTGAGTTCCTTGTATATTCTGGATATTAGCCTACTGTTGGGGGCACAGTTTGCCATTTTTTTCTTCCATTCTGCAGTTGTCTGTTACTTTCTTGATTATTTCTCTTGCTGTGCAGAAGATTTTTAGTTTAATTGAGTCTAGTTTGTCTATTTTTGTTTTTGTTGCCTGTGCTTTTGAGGTTTTAGTTATAAATTATTTGCCTAGATGAATGTCCAGAAGAGTTTTTCATTGGTTTTCTTCCAGTATTTTTATAGTCTGGGGTCTTATGTTTAAGTCTTTAATCGACCTTGAATTGATTTTTGTATATGGTAAAAGATAAAGGTAAAAGTACTATTTTTCTGCATATCGCAATTCAATTTTCCCAGCACCGTTTATTTAAAAAGCTGTACTTTCCCCAGTGTATGTTCTTGTCAGCTTTTTAAAAAAATCAGTTAACTGTAAATATGTGGCATTACATCATTTCTGGGTTCTTTATTCTTTCCATTGATCTATGTTGCCTTTTTTATATCAGTACCATGCTATTTTCATTAGTACAACCTGGTAGTATAATTTGAAGTCACACAATGCAATACCTTTAGTTTTGTTCTCCTTGCTTAGAGGTGCTTTGGCTATTTGGGGTCTTTTTATGTTCCGTATGAATTTAAGGATTTGTTTTCTAATTCTGTGAAAAATAACATTGATATTTTGATAGGGATTGCATTGAATCTGTAGATTGCTTTGGATAGTGTTGTCATTTTAATGATACTGATTCTTCCAATCCATGAACATAGAATATCTTTGTGGGATGTGTGTGTGTACGTGTGTGTGTTGCCTTCAGTTTCTTTAATTAGTGTTTTGTAGTTTTCTTTGTAGAGATCTTTAATCTCCATAGTTGAATATACTTTAGGTATTATATTTTTTGTGGCTATTATAAATGCGAATCCCTTCTTTTCAGCTAGATCATTATTGATATATAGGAACACTACTGATTTTTGTACATTGATTTTTGTATCCTGCAACTTTACTATGTTTCTTTATTAAATCTAACAGGTTTTTGTGATGGAGTCTTTAGGTTGTTCTAGATATAAAATTATATCATCAGCAAAAAAGGGATGATTTGACTTCCTCTTTTCCAGTTTCTGAGGATTACTTTGGCTATTTGGGCCCTTTTTTTGTTCCATATAAAATTTAGGATTTTTTTTCTACTTCTGCGATTAGATGTTTTATATTTCTTTCTATTGCCTGATTACACTGGCTAGAACTTCCAGTAATATGTTGAATATGAGTGGTGAAAGTAGGCATCCTCATTCTCTTCAAGTTCTTAAAGGAAGTACTTTCAACTTTTCCCAATTCAGTATGATGTTGGCTGGATGACATTTGTCATAAATGGCTTCTATTATTTTGAACATGTTCCTTGTGTGCCTAGTTTTTTTTTTAATCATGAAAGGATGCTGAAATTTGTCAAATGCCTTTTGTCTATTGAGATGATCATATGGTTTTTGTCCTTAATTCTGTTTATGCAATGTATCACATTTATTGATTTGTGCATGTTGAATTATCCTTGGGTATAAAACCTACTTGATCATGGTGATTTATCTCTTTTATGTGCTCTTGGATACTATTTGCTAGTATTTTATTGAAAATATTTGTGTCTATGTTCATCAGCACTGTTGGTCTGTAGATTTCTTCTTTGGTTGTGTATTTGTCTGGTTTTATGTGTCAGGGTGATACTGGACTCATAGAATGAGATAGGGAGAATTCCCTCTCCTTCAATTTTTGGGAATAGTTTCAGGAAGACTGATATGAGTTATTCTCTGTATATTTTGAAGAATTTGGCTGTGAATTCACTCAGGTCTTCTTTTTGTTGTGAGTTTATTATTATTATTATTATTATTACTGATTCAATCTCACTACTCATTATAGTCTGTTCAGGTTTTCTGTTACTTCATAGTTCAATCTTGGGAGGTTGTTTGTTTCCAATAATTTATCAGTTTCCTCTAGGTTTTCTAGTTTTTGAACATGTACTTATTCCTAATAGTATATCTGATGATCTTTTGTATTTCCTAGGTATCAGTTGTAATGTCTCCTTTTTCATTTCTGAGGTGGCTTATTTGGGTCTTTCTCTTTTTTTTTTTCTTGTATTAGCCTAGTTCATGGTTTATCAACTTGCATATCTTTTCAAAGAACCAACTTTTTTGTTTCGTTGAATTTTTTATATTCTGTTCTGACCTGAGAGGTTTCTGCTGAGAAGCCCTGTGTTAGTCTGAGGGAGTTTTCTCTTTAGGTGATTAGATACTTTCCTCTTGCTGACATTAGAATTCTTTCTTTAGACACTTTGATTATAATATAAGATGGCAAATTCCTTTTTGCATTGTAGTTACATGGAGATTGCTGAGCCTCCTGTGTCTTGATATCTAAATTTCTTGCTAAACTTGGGAAGTTTTCATCTATTCTTTTGTTAAATAGATTTTCTAAGGCTTTGAATCTCTCTTCACCAATAAAAATACTGATAATTCATACTTTTGGTCACTTTTTGTAGTCCCAAATATCTTGTAGGTTTTGTTCATTTTTAAAAATTTTTATTTCTCAATTTTTATCTGACTGGATTATTTTAAAGGACATGTCTTCAAGTTCTGAAATTCTTTCCTGTGCTTAATCTCATCTATTGTTATAGATTTTTTCTCAAGGGATATTTGTAATTTATTTTTCGTTTAATGACTAACATTTTTGATGCCAGGGTCATACAGGCCTCCTCTATTTTCTGAAAAGTGGTTTATTTTCTCTCTCTCTCTCTTTCTTTCTTTCCTTCTTGACAGAGTCTCACTCTGTTGACCAGGCTGGAGTACAGTGGCACGAACTTGGCTCACTGCAACCTCCACTTCCTGGATTCAAGCGATTCTCCTGCCTCAGACTCCCAAGTAGCTGGGATTACAGGTGCCTGCAACCACACCCTGCTAATTTTTTTATTTTTAGTAGAGACGGGGTTGTGCCATGTTGGCCAGGCTGGTTTTGAGCTCCTGACTTCAGTTGATCCACCTGCCTCAGCCTCCTAAAATGCTGTGATTGCAGGCGTGAGCTACTGTGCCCAGCCTGAAAAGTGTTTAATATTGGTTTTATCCTGTCTTAAATTTTGGTAAGATTCACTCATCAGTCCACTTGAAACTAGAGTTTTCTTTGTAAGATAACTTTTGATAACAAATTGAAATTTTAAAGTAGAGAACAATTCTAATTTTTCTATTTTATTTTATGTAAGTTTTCAGAGGTGTGATTTTTAAAGAATTTGTCTATTTCACATAAGTTGTCAAATTCATTGGCAAGATCTCTTTATGTTTCTGTATCTTCTTTTATGTTTACAGGATTTTTGATGCTATCTCCTTTTTATTCCTATGTTAATAATTTGCTTTTTCTCTCTTATACCTTGAGCAGTCTTGACAGGTGTTTACACATTTACAAAGAACTGATTTTAAGCTTTATTATTTTTAGCTAGCATTCCCTTTTCAAAATCATTGATTTTCTTTCTCCCTCTTTGTTTTGCATTTCATTACTTCTTTCCTTCCTCTCACTTTCCAGTTAACTCTTTTTTTTTTTTTTTAATCTTTTTTTGGATTCTTAAGGTGGCAACTTAGATCATTAACTTCAAACTTTTTTCTGTTAGGATACAGGCATTTAAAGTATAAATTTCACTCTAAGCACTATTTTAGCTGTATGTTACAAACTTTATTATGTAATTTTTTTTTATTAAATTGGATTCCTTTTTAATTTCCCTGGTAATTTAATCTTTCACTCATGGATTGTTTAGAAATGACTTATTTAATATCCAAATATTGGAAGGTTTGGGACAATATAATTAAAAACAAAATATCCTTCCAACCCAGAAAACATTGGCATAAAGGTAGAATAGAAAGAAAGCAATTTTGCTATTGAATAACCATTAAGCTAGAATCTGAATGATGTCACAGGCAATTTGTTAAGAAATTGCAAAGATATAGATTTCTCCTTTTATATAGCCAAGCAGATGCAACCATTGCATACATATTCTCAGGATAAACAAAAACTAGTCCACAGGTAAGAGGACTTGACAACATTAATCAGACGTAGTTCATCCTAAATTCACTCCACTCCATGACTGAGGTGACCGTCTGTGTTAGCTAATAAGCTTTTTCTAAAAGAAAAATAATATTCTCTTATCTTCATCACAGGAGGTAGTTTCAAAACTTAAAGCTAGGCTTTCACTGAAGTTAAGTTTCTACCCATTCATAGGAACTGGAAAATAAGGGTGCTTATCTTTCTTGATGAATATATTTCAAAGTGATCACTACTACATTTTTGGACTGTGGAGAGGCTTCTTTGGTTTTAAAAAAGATTTACATACATTTCTAAGAGAAAGAAAAAGAACTTATGAATTTTCTAAAGGTAACATTTTAAGAAAAGGGAGGGGTGAGGGAGAGTCTCTTTCCTATTTTCAAAACGGAGGATTAAGCCTCTTATTTTCAATTTGTATTTATTCTTACAATCTCTTCCATGCATTACTATAAAATAGTATTTAGAAAATACTATCTTATACTATTTTATAGTATTTAGAAAATACTATTTTCTAATTTTTTCTATTGCTGGTTCTACCCTTCTCTGGGCAAGTTGCAGCTGTCTAAATATCCAGGAAGTCCATAGCAAAGCAAACTTCATAGCTAAACAATTTTTAGAATTACTGCAGAATAACATAATTATATTTTTTTAAGTCAGTACTTTATTTGCCTTGGGGGTAATAAATAACCTTTGATTATATTATGCCAATGGTGAATAGTTGAATCAGATTCTTGATTAGCAATACTTCAACTTTTCCTTACTCTTACATTATTTTTACAAATTGTTGTTATGTCTTTATGGTTTACATTTTCAAGTTCTTAACTATTTAAGTATTATTTGTTTGTCCCTTTTAAAGCCTTATGCAATGCAAACCTAAGGAGTAGCTTAACTCTAAAGCCTGATAATCTAAATTTTTATTTGAGTTTTCTTTGCAAGTCAAATACATTTATCCTCAGTTTTAAGTCACTCACATAAGTACCATCACATTTATATAAGCATTTAGGCCCTTTAGTAATTATTCTATCTTTCCAGTAGGATGCCCTATGTATCCTATTAACTTTTCCATGTGTTTCACACTAGGAAAAAATAATAGCCATCATCTAGTAGCAAAGTTTGATTATGAGGCCTTCATTAAAAGTTACAAATTGAATTTCCAGTGTTTATATGACTAATTATTTTAAGTCTTGAAGACAAACACACACTATGGGCCTTTTTTCACATTGGGTATATATCAACATTTGTACGATAACACTATTATAACAGTCAACTAAATTGAGAGGTGAAGCCAGCTGGGCTTCTGGGTTGGGTGGGGACTTGGAGAACTTTTCTGTCTAGCTAAAGGATTGTAAACGCACAAATCAGCACTCTGTGTCTAGCTAAAGGTTTGTAAATGCACCAATCAGCACTCTGTAAAAATGGACCTATCAGTGCTCTGTAAAATGGACCAATCAGCAGGATGTGGGTGGGGCCAAATAAGCAAATAAAAGCTGGCCACCCAAGCCAGCAGCGGCAACCCACTGGGGTCCACTTCCACACTGTGGAAGCTTTGTTCTTTCACTCTTTGCAATAAATCTTGCTGCTGCTCACTCTTCAGGCCCACACTACCTTTGTGAGCTGTAACACTCACCGCGAAGGTCTGCACCTTCACTTCTGAAGCCAGTGAGACCATGAACCCACCAGGAGGAGTGAACAACTCTGGATGCACCACCTTTATGAGTTGTAACACTCACTGCGAAGGTCTGTGGCTTCACTCCTGAAGTCAGCAAGACCACGAACCCACCAGAAGGAGGAAACTCTGGACACATCCGAACATCTGAAGGAACAAACTCCAGACACAGCATCTTTTTTTTTTTTTTTTTTTTTGAGACGGAGTCTCGCTCTGTCACCCAGGCTGGAGTGCAGTGGCGCGATCTTGGCTCACTGCAAGCTCCGCCTCCCAGGTTCACGCCATTCTCCTGCCTCAGCCTCCCGAGTAGCTGGGACTACAGGCGCCCGCCACTACGACCGGCTAACTTTTTGTATTTTTAGTAGAGACGGGGTTTCACCTTGGTCTCGATCTCCTGACCTCGTGATCCGCCCACCTCGGCCTCCCAAAGTGCTGGGATTACAGGCGTGAGCCACCGCACCCGGCCCACAGCATCTTTAAGAATTGTAACACTCACTGCGAGGGTCCGCGGCTTCATTCTTGAAGTCGGCAAGACCAAGAACCCACTGGAAGGAACCAATTCCGGCCACAAAATCACCATGAACAATAGGCATATACTTTTGTTTATCTGTAAATAACAGATTTCTGCTTGTCTCTTAATTATATGCTTTTTCTTTTCTAAATCATTTTTCTAATCATTTTTTGTTTTAAATTTGGGCTTGAATTCCTGGGTGCATATTAGTAACTTTTGCTTTGTTATTATAAAAAATGAATATGGGTTCTTCCATAGTTGTGGAAGGTACAGGATAGTCGTCTTCTTTTGACCATGGTTTTCCTTGATGTGATGATTTTCTGAACCCTGATGTGCTTGCTTGATCAAAGGAGCAAAGCCTGCTGGTCACAGACATCTATGTAACAGCTGGTCTGCATCTCCATGTGTGGGGCTGTAAAGCAAAAAGAAACTTTGGAATACTTCTGCAAATTTCTGGAGCACTGGGAAAAGAAGACTTTAAGTGAGTAATACCAGCTGGCAAGGAAGGGATGTGGATGACTAAGTTCTGAGTAGCTTCTCAATGGCATTAGCTTTGCGGGCAATCCAAATAAGAAGGGCTAGTTTTTCTCACATTGAAACAAGAACAATGTAAGTAATGCGGCACTTTGTTTCTCTTCTCTTGTTAACATTCATCAGCTTAACACCTTGTTTGCCTTTTTCCAAGTGACGACTGCATTTACTCTCCATCCTGTTGCCTTCACACAGAGACACAATCTTTCCTCTAAGTTCTCAATTATTTTCTGGTTAGGTCTCTTTATTATGTCTGGTTACTTTTTGTTTGTTTGTTTTTTCAACTTTTAAGTTCCTGGGTACATATGCAGAATGTGCAGGTTTTTTACGTAGGTAAGCGTGTGCCATGGTGGTTTGCTGCACACATCAACCCATCACTTAGGTATTAAGCCCAGCACCTGTTAGCTATTCTTCCTGATGCTCTCCCTTCCCCCACCCCCTCCAAGGCCCCAGTGTGTGTTGTTTCCCACCAAGTGTCCATGTATTCTCATTATTCAGCTTCCCCTTACAAGTGAGAAGATAGTGTTTGGGTTTCTGTTCCTGCATTAGTTTGCTTAAGATAATGGCTTCCAGCTCCATCCATGTCCCTTGCAAAGTACATGATCTCATTCCTTTTCATGGCTGCATAGTATTCCACGGTGTATATGTAGTACATTTTCTTTATCCAGTCTATCATTGATGGGCATTTGGGTTGTTTCCCTGTCTTTGCTATTATGAATAGTGCTGCAATGAATATACGCATGCATGGATCTTTATAAAAGAATGATTTATAATCCTCTGTGTATGTAACCAGCAATGGGATTGCTGGGTCTAATGGTATTTCTGCTTCTAGATCTTTGAAGAATTGCCACACCATTTTCCACAATGGTTGAATTAATTTACACTCCCACCAACAGTGTAAAGATATTCCTATTTCTCCACATCCTCTCCAGCGTCTGTTGTTTCTTGACTTTAATAATCGCCATTCTGACTGGTATGAGATGGTATCTCATGGTTTTGATTTGCATTTCTCTAATGATCAGTGATTTTGAGCTTTTTTTCATATATTCATTGACTGCATGAATATCTTCTTTTGCGAAGTGATACATAGACTAACGGAACAGAATAGAGAACTCAGAAATAAGACCACACATCTACAACCATGTGGTCTTTGACAAACCTGAGAAAAATAAACAATGAGGAAAGGATCCCCTATTTAATAAATGGTGCTGGAAGAACTGGCTAGCCATATTCAGAAAATTGAAACTGGACCTCTTCCTTATACCTTATACAAAAATTAAGATGGATTAAAGACTTAAATTTAAAACCCAAAACAATAAAAACCCTAGAAGAAAATCTGGGCAATACCATTCAGGACATAGGCATGGGCAAAGATTTCATGATGAAAACACCAAAAACAATTGCAACAAAAGCAAAAATGGACAAATGGGATCTAATTAAATTAAAGAGCTTCTGCACAACCAAATAAGCTATCATCAGAGTGAATAGATAAACTACAGAATGGGAGAAAATTTTTGCAATGTATCCATCTGACAAAGGTCGAATATACAGAGTCTACAAGGAACTCAAACAAATATGCAACAAAACAACCCTGTTAAGAAGTGGGCAAAGGACATGTCTAGTTTCTTAACTACAGGGTGTGAAAATGACAAAAAGAGTTCTTGGTGGTGGAATCTGGGCTAAGTTATGAAGTGGACTAGGACTGGCCCACAAGGCACACAAACTTATATCTTCAAACGGGGCAGGTAATTCAATATCAGATAAAAGAGTTGTGCCTTCACCGCCCTCCCCCCCCTCACCCTTATAGAGAAATTCACTATTGAAGGAAACCACCTGTTTGAAAGATCATCACCTCTCCCTTCACCAAAGTCAGTTTCAGGTAAGGAGGAATAAAGACATGCAGGGGAAGAGAGGGAGCAGGCACAGTAAGAAAGGAGGAGGAGAGTTCTGTGAAAGGAAAGAGACTTTGATTCCTGCATGTCCTCTTCCATTCTGTCTCAATCTTTTCTTTTGGCTAAGTCATTTTAATATTTTTCTTAGAATGATAGTCATCCCATAAATACCAGTTTAATTTATTTGGCTGGAATGAGATCTAAGAGCCTCTGCAAATATGCTAATTAACCCAAATCAAAAAGAACCATCTCTAGGTCACTCAAGATTGTATTCTCATCTACATATTCTAAATAGGACAGAAAGGAAGACCTACCTGCAGCATTCTTATCTTTCTATATTCTCCAACCACCTAGTGATCCTTACAGGGGTTTTAAAGCCTGTATTACCCACACTGATTCAATAGTAAAATATTGGATTTGGCAAGGGCAGTTCATTTGGCTAGTATTCTAAATAGCCAATAGATAAAAGGAAGACTTTTTATAATTCAGGGTCTTTTACTTGACAGTTGCACGGTCACAGACCTACAGCTGGTCCACTCATTTAAGAAAATACCAGACATCTAAGATCACTTGCAATGGCAACATTTCTGTTGTCTCAGTGGAAGCACCCATTTCAGATGAAAAGCAGGGTGACACAACCCCCCTTTTCCATATATATATATATAGTACTCTTCCTTTAATCCAGTTCCAAAGATTGAACATTGGCTTATCCTGTGAAGTTCCCATTTGTGTGACAGTAGTTACGAATTGTGAATCTTATGTTAATCCCAAATACAATTATTCAGCCACACACGGAAGCTGACAAACTTCCATTTTATCACTAATTCTAATAACCATCTTGGTAAAGGCTACCAAGGGAGCTGTTTATATGGGGTAATCAACTGGCTCCATCCCCTAACTGTGTATTAATAGTTTCTGTCTTTTCAATTTAGCTTGACCATTTGGCTCTATTGTATTTTTACCACCCAGAGCTTCAGCCTAAACATTGCCTTCATTACCAGCAGTAAGCAAGTACAATCATATGGCTCATCTTGTTCATTTCCTTCTCTCAAGGAATCAGCCCTATGCTGCCTGATAAACATTGTTTTGTATATATATGTATTATTATAATATATATTATTATATTTTATATAACATTATATTATATAATATATTATATATTATCTATCATATTATATTTTATATAGCGTATTATATTATATAATATACTATCATATATTCTAATATATGTATTACATATAATATATTATATATTATCATATATTACAGCAATACATATGCCAGTGTTTTTTATACATATATATTCTGTTTTTCTGGTTTTTAAAAGTGGGAGGAAAAATCCAATTCCAGTTAGTGCATCTTGGTCAATGACTATAAATTTGATGGTGATAAATATAATAATCCCAGTAATGTAGAGAAGACCTTTCGTATAAAATAAATAGAATCGTATTCTCTTAGTGAATATGTTTCCTTAAATTAAGACGGGAAACTTCACAAAGTTTTTTCCTCAAGATTCAGGATGCACAACATTGCTATTACTTGGATTAAAAGTTAATCTTGTATCTGGTTACATACTTATAGAAATTAACCTAGTAATCATTTCCATATTATTTTATTTAGATGTTTTGAAAAGCTGACTTGCTCAAAGAACTTGAAATGTTAAATATTTTTAAAGTTTTTCTCAAACTAATTCCCAAGAACTGCAAATGCATTACTCTAGCACTCTCGGTGGCTAAATGTCTTTCATAATTAATGTAAATTAGGTTAAAGGGGTATTCATTAATTTTTACAAGGGAGAACCTTCATAGAAAAGTGCTTGAAAATGAACGTAAGTAACATCCATGTTTTAAATAAGTCATGAAACCCTGTGGATATAGTCCATTCATCTTCATCTCCCATCTTTTTAGTTAATAAAAAGAATCAAAGAAAAAGTAAAAGCCTAGTTCAAAAGGAAGACAGATCTTTCCTACTGTTATATAAGTACCTCTTAACGTGATTTTGCTCAATTCTGATTCTTAAGCTTAAGTAGAAATTCCAAAGAAACTTCGTGATTACATTTTAATTATAACCTACATTTCAAACAGGGTAGATTGGCAGAACTCCATGTACTTAATAAGTAGCTGTAGCTCCTGAAATACATTCAGGCTACCCATGGTTATTGCACACATATCAAATGAATATTTCCAATTAAAGGAGCTGGCTCTATGGATAGGTTAACTGAATATCAATTTATATTCTTTCAGTACTCTTCTCCTGCAGTTCTTAAAAGTGAAAGCAAAATGGCATAATTTCTCACTATAAATAGAGAATTCTGAATATTGAGACCCAAACAATTTAAAAGATTTTGTTCATTTTTTCCTATTTTTGAACTATGATCAGATTTGTGGTTTACACAGGAATCTAACAATTTTATGTTGCTTATTTTCATTAAATTGCTCTTCCAGTGGGAGGTGTAAAACTCACACGTCTACCTGTTAAAAGTTCTACTAAGAAACAACTCATATTGAAGGAGGTTTATCAAAACAATATGATTATTTTGTGCTGTTTTGGGGTTCAGTGACCCATGCTATTTCTCTTCTCGGGGTGGATAATTAAGCTCTTACAACCAAGGTATCTAAGGTGCAGAAATAAATCAAGAATACAAAGAGAAGTAAGATAAAACAGAATAAAAACTATTCTAAGTGAAATCAATATAAACTGTTCACTAAGTTTAATCAAGTGGTATGTTAAGCATGAGAATTTAGCTAATCGATAATTACACAAAAATGTCATAAAACAGTGATAAAGATGAGGACAATATTTGGCACAAGAAAATTAAGAGTGTATTAGCATAAGTTTAACTTGATCTCAAGGAAAGCATGTGTGATTATTTTCTATATAAAATTTTTCTTTTCTCAAAGAATCATTAACTAAACAAAAACTGCCTTCTGGAGTTTAATTTTATTTTCCAATTGATAATCAAACCTTAAAAATAACATAATTAAGTAACCTCATCATACTTCATAGATTAAAAATATTTTTATTCTATTCTATAACAGCATTTTCCAAAATATATTCTGTGGTACACTGGTTCTCAGAGATTCCAGTAGATGTTTATGATTAAAGAAAAAAGGAGAGGGTTTCATGTTTAAAGAGCCATGGAAAATGTTAGATTAATTGTATTTATTAATTATAGAAACAATACGTTATAATTGTGGCAAATATCCAAGTGAAGAAATCTAGTGTGCATCTTTTCAAAATTGATTTGACCACAAACCCTGAATTTGGGTAAAATATCTTGTGGATGAGGTTCCTTGGAATACCTATTTAAAAAAAATTCAAAATATTTTGGGAAAAAAGTTTCTGATTTGAATTAAAAATACTTGGCCAGGCGCGGTGGCTCATGCCTGTAATCCCAGCACTTTGGGAGGCCGAGGCGGGTGGATCATGAGGTCAGGAGATCGAGACCATCCTGGCTAACAAGGTGAAACCCCGTCTCTACTAAAAATACAAAAAATTAGCCAGGCGCGGTGGCGGGCGCCTGTAGTCCCAGCTACTCGGGAGGCTGAGGCAGGAGAATGGCGTGAACCCGGGAAGCGGAGCTTGCAGTGAGCCGAGATTGCGCCACTGCAGTCCGCAGTCCGGCCTGGGCGACAGAGCGAGACTCCGTCTCAAAAAAAAATAAAAATAAAAAAATAAAAATAAAAAAAAAAATACTTTTCTTAAATGACAAATTGAAGTAAGTGAGCCTTATTTTTTAAGTATATTAATTTCCTCAGTGTATTTTTTATCTGAGTAAACTGTTTTACACTAAACAAGTTAGTATCTTATTTCATGAACATTTCTTACAGGTTTTACTGGCAGAGTATTAAATAATTATGTTTAATAAAAATAATGTTTAACATCAACCTAGTTGCTCCTACCAAGCTGGCAATCTCCTTTTACCTCTTTCTGCCAAGTACCACCGTATTGTTGTCTTGTGAATCATGTTTTTACTGAGACTGGCTGAGAAGATAAGTTCCTCTGCTTAGAATGATGCCTTTGTACTGGTTTCTGATAAATCTGATCTCTTTCCCTTTTGTAGAAATCTGAAGATACTCTGTATTTATCAATTACCAGAGCTCTGTGGAGTTATCTTTCTCCTAGAAAAACCAGGATTATATACAAAATCCTTCTACTTTTAGAAAAGAACATATTTTCTTTCGCTTATGAAAATCACTTCTGACCCTCTCATATCTTCTCTATCGACAGACTTTCTAATCCTTACAACCTCTGGTTACTGCCCTTATTTTTGAAAATTTCTCTAGACAGATGTCATGTATACCCATGTAAGAGAAAACCTGGGAGAATGTAGGTGGGAGATATAGTCTAACATGCAGACCTATTGAGTAAGGCTATTATTTAAGTACCTACCATATCTTAATACTCAGACCTGCACAGTGGCCTGGACACAACCGACCATGGGGCCCAGATATTTCTTTCCAGATACTGCCATTCCTACAATCTACAATTGCTTTGTATATTTTGTGATTCTTTTTTTTTCTTTATTTCTTCTAAAAAAAAAAAAAGAAAAACAAAAAACAGGATACATGTGCAGTATGTGGAGGTTTGTTACATAGGTATACGTGTGCCAAGGTAGTTTGCTGCACCTATTCACCCTTCCTCTAAGTTCCCTCCCTTCACCCCTCACCCCACAACAGGCCTGGTGTGTGTTGTTCCCCTGTCTGTAGCCATGTGTTCTCATTGTTCAACTCCCACTTATGAGTGAAAACATACGGTGTTTGGTTTTCTGTTCTTGTGTTAGTTTGCTGAGGATGAGAGAAGAACTGAAGGAGAGAGAGACATGAAAAAACCTCCAAAAAATCAATGAGTCCAGAAGCTGGTTTTTTGAAAAAGTTAACAGAATAGATAGACCACTAGCTAGACCAATAAAGAAGAAAAGAGAGACGAATCAAACAGACACATTAAAAAATGATAAAGGAGAGATCACCACTGACCCCACTGAAATACAAACTACCATCAGAGAATACTATAAACACCTCTATGAAAATAAATTAGTTAATCTAGAAGAAATGGATAAATTCCTGGACACATACACCATCCCAAGACTAGACCAGGGAGAAGTTGAATCCCTGAATAGACCAATAACAAGCTCTAAAATTGAGGCAGTAATTAATAGACTATTTGGGAAAAAAAAAAAATAAATAAAAAAACCAAAAGAAAAAAAAAAAGGCCCAGGACCAGATGGATTCAAAGCTGAATTTTACCAGAAACACAAAAAGGAGCTGGTATCATTCCTTCTGAAACTATTCCAAACAACTGAAAACTCATTTTATGAAGCCAGCACCATCCTGATAACAAAACCGAGAAGAAACACAACAACAACAACAAAAACTTCAGGACAATATCCTGATGAACATTGATGCGAAAATCCTCAATAAAATACTGGCAAAACCAAATCCAGCAGCACATCAAAAAGCTTTCCCACCACGATCAAGTCAGCTTCATCCCTGGGATGCAAGGCTGGTTCAACATATGCAAATCAATAAACGTAATCCATCACATAAACAGAACCAAAGACAAAAATCATATGATTATCTCAATAAATGCAGAAAAGGCCTTTGATAAAATTCAATATCCCTTCATGTTAAAAGCTCTCAATAAACTAGGTATTGATGGAACATATCTAAAAATGATGAGTTACTTATGACAAACCCACAGCCAATCTCATATTTAATAGGCAAAAGCTGGAAGCATTCCCTGAAAACCGGTACAAGACAAGGGTGCCCTCTCTCACCACTCCTATTCAACATGGTATTGGAAGTTGTGGCCAGGGTAATCAGGCCAGAGAAGGAAATAAAGCGTATTTAAATAGGAAGAAAGGAGGTCAAATTGTCTCTGTTTGCAGACAACATGATTTTATATTTAGAAAACCCCATCATCTCAGCCCAAAAACTAGTTAAACTGATGAGCAACTTTAGCAGTCTCAGGATACAAAATCAACGTGCAAAAATCACAAGCATTCCTTTACACCAACAATAGGCAAGCAGAGAGCCAAATCATGTATTTTGTGATTATTAAGGTGTCATTAATTTCTTCTTGAATCTTAATATTTATCTTAACCTAAAAATTAAAATGTATAACAATAATACCACTTGCATAAAATATTGGCCAAAATACTTGCTTTATCATCGTGCTTCTTTAGAATCTTTTTATTGCTTTCGATAAAAAAAGATCCCTTCAAACCAAACTTTGTCAGTTTTTAAGTCACATTAATTATGAGAATACCAAACTGTTCTTGTATTTCAATCTGTAATAAATTGAATTCTGGGCTGATAATAACTTGCACACAGAAGACTGCCTCTTGGAAATAAACATCTTTTTGAAGTATCTGCAGTCTATCATTAGAGAAAGACAGCCCTTTCACTTTGCCTCTAGTCATTGTGTATCAAACCAATCTCAAGGATTTGCCACAATTTTGTACCTGAGTGGTACTTTATCTAAGTCCAAGAAAATAAAATTATATAATAGAAAACCAGTATTCAAGAGTTCATTTAATTCAATTAATTACTTAAATCTTTAGAAGATTGAAGGGTAAGGGAAGTGTGTAGGAAGAAAGGAGCCGGGTAAAGTGAATGGTCGTTTATTTATTGCCTTAGTTTGCAAGGTAATATTCTGACAACAGGTCATTGATAAATAAACAACTGAGATTGATTTGGGAAGTGTGAACTAATATAGAGAGAAATAAGAAGCACTGCAACAAGCTAAATGATCACTGATTAGGTACACAGGACATAATTTTGAGCTTTAATTAAACAAAAATTCTTAACACTTTTTGTTTATTTTCAGCACACATGGCTCACACTTGAAATTAGAATCTCTCTCTTTCCTTTGATGGCAAAAATAATTTTATTTCCATAGGATGGGCAAAAATTAGCAACAAAGATGAAAGTATCTGTTTCAAAAGGCTCAACATTTATATTATCATTTAAAAATATTTTTGCTTCAGATCTCCAGAACAATCCTGAACTAAGAAAACCTGAAATCATCACTAAATGCTTTATTCTTTGGAAAAAAACTGAGTAAGTCGTAAAAAATAATCTTCATAAAATTCTTTTAAATAATATTTATGAGAACCATGCCTACTTTAAGCATATTCTCACGAATTGCTATTTAGATTGTTAGTGGCTATAAAATAAATTTACTGGACTCAACTTACAGCACATACACAAAAGCAACTCAAAATGGATTAAAAACTTAAACATAAGACTGCAAACTATAAAACTGCTAGAAGAACACATAGGAGGAACCTCTATGACATTGTTCTTGACAATGATTTTATGGATATGACATCAAAGCCACAGACAACAAAAACAAAAATAAACAAGTGAGACTACATAAAAATAAAAAGCTTCTGCAGAGCAAGGAAAACAATCAACCGAGTGAAAAGGCTAACTGTGGAATGAGAGAAAATATTTGCAACCCATATATCTTCCAAAGATTAACTTCCAAAATATATAAGAAACTTCTACAACTCCATAGTAAAAAAACCAACAAAACCCTAATAACCAAAATAAAAAATGAGCTAAATATCTGAATAGACACTTCTCCAAAGAAGATATACAAATGTCCAACACATATATGGAAACATGCTCAATATCACAAATCATCAGGTAAATGCAAATTAAAATCATGAGCTATCACCTCACAACTGTTAGGATGATTGTCATTTTTACAAAAGACAGCAAGTGTCAGTGAGGATAGAGGTAGATTTGGAATCTTTGTGTACTGTTGGTGGGAATGCAAAAACTGCTGTGGAAAACAATATAGATGATGCTCAAAAACTTAAAAATAGAATTATCATATGATCCAGCAATTCTATTTCTGGGTATTTGTCAAGAAAATATTGAGATCAGGATATCAAAGAGATATTAGCACTTCTATATTTGTTGCAGCATTATTCACAATAGCCAAGATATGGAAACAACCAAAATGTCCATCAACAGATGAACAGCTCAAGAAAATGTGAGATATATATATATATACACACACACACACACAATGGAATACTGTACAACCTTACAAAAGAAGGGAATTCTGCAATATATGGCAGCATGGAGGAACTTTGAAGACATTATGCAAGTGAAATAAGCCAATCATAAAAAGACCAGTACTTCAGGATTTTATTTATATGAGGCATCTGAAAAAGTTAATTTCATAGAATCAAAGAGTAGAATGGTGGTTGTCAGATGCTGAGGAAAAAGGAAAACAGGGAGTTAGTAATCGTGGTGGTTAATTCCATGTGTCAACTTCACTGGGTTAAGAATGTTACGATAGCTGGTAAATAATTATTTCTGGGTGAATCTGAGAGGAGGTTTCTGGAGACTTTAACATTTGAATCAGTAGACTAAGTAAAGAAGATCCATTGTCACCAATGTGGGTGGCATCATCCAAATTTTTGAGGGTCCACATAGGACAGAAAGGCAGAGGAAGAGTGAATTCTCACCTTCTATTGGGATGGGACATCCATCCCCTCCTGTCTTTGGACATTGGAATTTCTGTTCCTGGTTCAAGGGACTTTAGACTCTCTGGCTTTTAACAGTGCCCTGCTTTCTTCTTAGGCCTTTGGCCTTAGGCTGAGAGTTACACCATTGGCTACCCTGGTTCCTAGGGCTTAGGACTCAGACTAAATTACATCACTTGCTTTCCTAGGACTATAGCTTTCAAACGGCATATTGTGGGACTTCCTGTTCTCCATAATCACATGAGCCAATTTCCATAATAAATCTCCTGACATATATCTATATATATCCTATTGGTTCTGTTTGCCTGGAGAACCCTGATAATAACAGACATAAAGTTCCAATCAGGCAAGATGTACATTCTCTGGAGATCTGTTGTATAACATTGTACCTGTAGTTAAAGGTACATTAAAAATTCGTTAAGAGACTAGATCTCTTATTAAATGTTCTTACAACAATAACAAAAAATATAAATAACGGAGAACTCAGCAAGCAGTCTGCGCAGTCTTCCTCAAATACTGGAGCTAATTAAGTGAAAAAATATATGTTAAAGATCAAGATCATTTTTATCACCAATTTAATTTTATGTATTTCAGTTTCTATAAATGTTATCAAGTCTAAATTTTCACAATATTTATATGGATGAAAGCACAGTTATTTCCTGTTGTTTCATATTGGATGGCAGGCAGAAGAGATACCTTCTTCCCACCCATTTAGCAATGTTCAGGTACATATATTTGAAGAAGGATTCATTTATCTTTTGTCTTTCCATTTATATTACATACTTGTTGTTTTCGGTAGTGATTACTACATTATTAAAATTTATGTTACCAATATATCATTGTATCGATCAACTTATTGGTTTATTATTACCCATAGCTACTGGTAATTTGTATGTCACAATCACTGATATAATAATCAAAAATATTAATAGTAAATAACAGTAACTGAATGCCTATAATGTGGCAAGCCTTGTGGTGGTTACATTTGGTGTTTTACCCTCAAAATGATTCTATGAAATAACTAATATTTCTTTTTCATATTTAAAAACTGAGAGTTAGAAAGGTTAGCAAACATGTCCGAAGTTACTTAGCTTGTACTTTGCTATAAAAGACATAAAAGCCATTTTAACTCTTAATTACTGTGCTATCCTACCTTGATATTCTTTCTTAATTATTTTCATTCATTTTTATTTTCTAATGCTTATTGGTCTTTTACTTCTCAAGCGGGGATGGATATATTTGATTATTCCTAGCAGATTTTGTTAGTAGTAAAAGGAGTTTGAATCTGAGTTTAACAGATAATTAAAATAGGGAATAGAGATTCTGCTAAAGGCAGAAATTACACAGAAAGATAAAATTGCACAGAAAGGAAAGCAAGAGATAGACATCAGAAAGTTTTAGTGTGCTTTTAAAAGGACAATTTTGTAGATTGCTTAAACAACTTCTACTCATTCTTTTAATACTGACTTTATTCACTTGCTTTGTGCTTGTTAGATGCGAAACATTGTGATGGACATTTAAAGTGAGAGAAAGTAGATAAGATATGATTCTTGTCCTTAAGTTACACAATTCTGTGGAAGTGATGTGACAAAACAAAATGAAAATCATAATGAAATTAATTCTCCTAGACAACTATAAGATCAGTAGTAGTGGCCAGAGCAATCAGTCAAGAGAAAGAAATAAAGGGTATTCAAATAGGAAGAAAGGAAGTCAAATTATCTCTGTTTGCACATGACATATATTTAGAAAACCCCATTGTCTCAGCCCCAAAACTCCTTAAGCTAATAAGCAACTTCAGCAAAGTATCAGGATACAAAATCAATGTGCAAATATCACAAGCATTCCTATACACCAAAAATAGACAAACAGAGAGCCAAATCATGAGTGAATTCCCATTCACAATTGCTACAAAGAGAATAAAATACCTAGGAATACAACATACAAGGGATGTGAAGGATCTTTTCAAGTAGAACTACAAACCACTACTCAAGGAAATAGAAGAGGACACAAACAAATAGAAAAACATTCCATGCTCAGGGACAGGAACATTCAATACCATGAAAATGGCCATACTGCCCAAAGTAATTTATAGATTCAATGCTATTCCATCAAGCCACCATTGACTTTCTTCACAGAATTAGAAAAAACTACTTTAAATTTCATATGGAACCAAAAAAGAGCCTGTATAGCCAAGACAATCCTAAGCAAAAAGAAGAAAGCTGGAGGCATTGGGCTACCTGACTTTAAACTATACTACAAGGCTGCAGTAACCAAAACAGCATGGTACTGGTACCCAAACCGATATATAGACCAATTGGACAAAACAGAGGCCTCAGAAATAATACCACACATCTGCAACCATCTGATCTTTGACAAAGCTGACAAAAACAAGCAATGGGGTAAGGATTCCTTATTTAATAAATGATGCTGGGAAAACTGTCTAGCCATACGTGGAAAACTGGCTAGCCATATGCAGAAAACTGAAACTGGACCCCTTCCTTACACCTTTTACAAAAATTAACTCCAGATGGATTAAAGATTTAAATGTAAGATCTAAAACCATAAAAATCCTAGAAGAAAACCTAGGCAATACCATTCAGGACACAGGCATGGGCAAAGACTTCACAACCAAAACACCAAAAGCAATTGCAACAAAAGCCAAAATTGACAAATGGGATCCAATTAAACTAAAGAGCTTCTGCACTGCAAAAGAAACTACCATCAGAGTGAACAGGCAACCCACAGAATGGGAGAAAAGTTTTGCAATCTATCCATCTGACAAAGGGCTAATATCCAGAATCTACAAGGAACTTAAACAAATTTACAAGAAAAAAGCAAACAACCCCATCAAAAAGTTGGCAAAGGAAATGAACAGACACTTTTCAAAAGACATTTATGTGGCCAACAAACATTTAAAAAAGCTCATCATCACTGGTCATTTGAGAAATGCAAGTCAAAACCACAATGAGATACCATCTCACAACAATAAGTATGACGGTCATTAAAAAGTCAGGAAACAACCAATGCTGGAGAGGATGTGGAGAAATAGGAACACTTTTACACTGTTGATGGGAGTGTAAATTAGTTCAACCATTGTGGAAGACAGTGTGGCAATTCCTCAAGGTCCTAGAACTAAAAATATCATTTGACCCAGCAATCTCATTACCAGGTACATACCCAAGGGATTATAAATCATTCTGCTATAAAGATACATGCACACATATGTTTGTTGCAGCACTATTCACAGTAGCAGATGTTTGGAACCAGAGTAAATGCCCATCAATGTTAGACTGGATAAAGAAAATGTGGCACATATACATCACAGAATACTATGAAGCCATAAAAAAGAATGAGTTCATGTCCTTTGCAGGGACGTGGATGAAGCTGGAAACCATCATTCTCAGCAAACTAACATGGGAACAGAAAACCAAGCACTACATGTTCTCACTCATAAAAGGGAGATGAACAATGAGAACTTATGGGCACAGGGAGGGGAACATCGCACACTGGGGCTTGTCGAGAGGTGGGGGTCAAGGGGAGGGATAGCATTAAGAGAAATACCTAATGTAGATGACAGGTGGATAGGTGCAGCAAACCACCATGGCACATGCATACCTATGTAACAAACCTGCACATTCTGCACATGTATCCCAGAACTTAAGTATATATATATAATCATAATGAAATTAATTCTCCTAGACAACTATAAGATCAGTAGGAGTGGCCAGGGCAATCAGGCAAAAGAAAGAAATATAGGGTATTCAAATATTATGTGTATATATATATATATATATAGATAGATAGATAGATAGATAGATAGATAGAAGTAGAAGGGTTGGCTCATCATAAGAATTATAAGCTCATACATTTATTTATATGTATGAGCTTCTGGTATATGTTATATATCAGAACATATGTTATATTGTTATAAGTATGTTATATGTATGTATATGTAACATATATTAACATATATTGACATGTATGTTGATCCTCAATAAAATGAGGATTGACTAAGTAGTTTTCAGGGATAAAATATTTCCACTTGCCTCTACAGACAGTGTGCAAGGGAGGGAATAAGGTGAATAGACATATTAATAAATATACATATAGAAAGTATTAACAGAAATTAGGAAAAAAGTTATACAACACATTAAATATAATTAAATTTAGGCCCCCCCTTGCTTTATATTTTGATAATTTATATATGGGAAACATATTTTTTCATAAAAAAGGACAGAATAAAAAATTTTTCTTCATTCATCAATACTATGACTGAATATAGCATTGCTAAGGACAGAAGAGAACAGTGCTATGATTATTGTGAGGAAAGACATTGACCAGTCAGTTCTCCCTGTGGGAACCAAATGAAACTAAATGATAAAGTATAGTGAATATAAAGAAAACTAACATTTGTTAGCCTATTTCCCACCCATAGGAATGGTGGTCCAGCGCCAGGCTACTCTTTTTAATTTGCTTACCACTAGAAATGCAGTCTGTTTCCTTATAGAACACTTGTTTTTGCTATGACTTTATAATTTTACCTTCTATTTAACAATAACCATCATTCTCAAGTCTAAGGTTGGAGAGCAAATAAATAGAAATGAAAAAAATACAATGTTTTAAATAGTTATATACTTTGATTTAGTGTTGATAAATGAATTTTGTTTGAAAGATAAAAAATACTGTGTGGACTGACTGCTCAGATATGAGTCACACTTCATAGCTGATGGTAATTTCTGTAATCTCAGAAGCAGAAACCAAAGTGTCTTAAATATTCTTAAACTTCTTCTCCCTCCACTGCACCTCACAGGATGTAACCTTGTTTGAATATTAAGCTCTGCTGTGGAGTGATTATGTTTATCTAATACAAGCTCTGATAAACATAGACTCCACTTAAAAAGTGTTAGTTTTTTATTGAAACAATTAGGAAATGATGTTTGTTTGTCTGTGTGTATAGAGGTATTGTTTTTAAAGTTTATGTCAACTTTTAAACCCGATATTGTGTTTTGATTTCTACAATTTAAAAGGAGAATATTTGTGAAAAATAATAATCTGCTACAAATAAACTAGTGGTATGAGCATAGGCCCTGGATGTATAACATTGGGTTTGAATTCTGACTTTATCTCTTTCTAGCTTCATGACCTGAAGCAAATTGCTCAACCAATCTGTACTGCAGTATTCTCATTTGTAAAATGGGGAAAATAATAATACCTATCTATACAGTAGTTGTTAAGCTTAGGTTAATTCAACATGTAAACCTTAGTACTTGTCCCATATCAGTTACTATACAAATTTTATGTATTATTAATATTTATATTGCCATTATAATTATTAATTACCTGATAATCACCAAGAAAAACTAAACATCCTAATCTTTTAACCTTCTTATTGATTTCAGTATCATACAGAATGACAGTTTTCTAATTTTGCTGTTTTCTTTATTAAATATGCAATATATAGAATATTTTGCTAAGACAAGAAGTATTTAAATTGAAGTTTGGTAAACCATACAAATCCTTTGACAAACCAGACTGAAATGTGATGATAAATGATATATGTGGACTGGGGATGGGGTATTTCTTCAGAGAGAAAGCTTTTGCTTCAAACTTGATAAACACGTTGAAAATTATATTACAAAGTATAATACAGTAGTATATTTTTAATTGAGTTACCTACAGTTATATCTTCATTTTTTCAAGCATATAAAACAGAATAGGAAGAGCACATCCAACGAGTATAGGTAATTAAAATGAACTTGGTAGTATACAACAAGTGGAAATGACTTTATTTTTAGGAGCCAATTACAAGTCAGAATTTTGTTAAAGTGGAAGAAGGAAATTAATCTCTTGAGCTAACTGATTTCTGCTTTTGTTCATTAGATTATTCATTTGCCCATCCCCAATAAGTATTTATTTTACACGCAAGCATAGAAATGATTCTTGGTCTTGAGACTTGCCTCCCTATAACTAGACTAAGATTCTTTCACCTACTACACTGGGGAAGACGCAAGGAGGTATTGACAGCTTAGGGAGGTTTCATTGGCCTCCCCAGCCACTGTCTATTCCAATAGGGAACCTTTTCTAAAAGTCAAAGAGACAGATGATATTAGATTACTTTGTTTTGGTCACTAGTTTCTAAATATTCTCATTGCCAGAATGTCGTGGAGACATTTAAAAAATAGAGATTCCTCATTTCCAACCTGAGTGAATTCACTTAATATTAAAAAAAAATATTTTGAGTGTCTGCTCTATGCCGTATGATATTCTGGAACCTGGAGATGCAGCAGTGAATGAAAATGTTCACAAACCTTTGGAGCTGAAATTCCAGCAGGGGTGTGTGTGTGGGCAGGAGAGGGGAGTATATAATAAGTACCTAAAATGTATAAACTCAGAGAAGATAAAATAAACAGGATAAAAGGATAGTGGATTATTGGACTTTTATTCCGATTTTGGATATTAGAGAAGACTTCTCTAAGAAGTGACTCTTGATTTCTTTAAAATAAACCTTAATCAGATTGAAGGAATGGAATCAAAGGTGCAAGGAACTGAAACTACAAATAATCTGCGGTGATAAATACAGAATTTCAAAGGAACCAAATGAAGGCCAGTGTAAGAACAAGACGCTATGAGATGTGGTCAAAGAAAGAGAAAGGGAGCTATGGAAATGACAGCAAGGAGATTTTTAGATATAGTGCACATACAGTCCATTCTATCAGGTCTTCTTGATCATGCCAAATTACTTTCTAAGCAGTTGTACTAATTCATACCCCAACCAGAAACATAAGCACATTCTTTTTGAAAAATGTTTTTTGTCGATGTTTGTATTTACAGTTTTGATAAAATTTATTTTTAGTCATTTTGGTGTGTATAAAATGAATTTAACTTGCATTGATCTGATTATTAGGGCTGTTGCTCATTCTGGGGGAATTCATTTTTGTTAAAGACCTATCGATGTCTTCTGCTCACTTTTTAAAATCAGATTGTTTGACTTTTCATTATTAATTTTTAGGAGTTACTTATTATATGTTATGAAATGAACACTGAATTTTGGAAGAAAACAGAATAAGATAAAGCCAATATTTATAAATAAGTTTCTTTTTTCTAATTTTTATCTTTTATTTTTCCTTCTTTTTTTTTTGTTTGCTAAATAGGATTCCTAAACATGTATTCAAGGAAACATTGTAGCATATATGTTTATCTGTCTCTGATTTTACAGGAAAGAACTGTAACATGCCACCAATATTTTATCATTTATAAACATGTTTGCTACAGTGTTTTGTTTCTGTGGTTTTTTTTTTGTAGAGTATCCTCTGTCAGTTGAAGGAATTTCTTTTATGTTTATTGGCTATCAGTGCTATAATGATGTATGTCATATTTCTATGCATATATTTAAGATGAGATATTTCCTTTTTAATTTATTACTGTGGCACATCCTTACTAAATTTGATACTTACAAAGCTGAGATACATCTAACTTCACCACTATTTATTGTATTTTAAACAATTTGTTTTGATAATATTTTGCGTAAGAATTTTTTGCATCAATGTTCATAATTATCAAGGTTATCATAGACCCATTTTATCATAAAGAAGAGTTCTTTCTATATTCTATAAATTCTATATAAGAATTTATATATGAGAGGAAAATTCTCAGTCTTAAATATATCTTGAACTCATTCATAAAAAGATCTGAGGTTGATAAATTTCAGTTAGGTAATTTTTTAACTTCTTAAATGTATTTTTAAATGATTAGGGATATTATCATTTTTCTTTCAACTTGAGTATATTTTGATAGGTTTATATTTCTAGGAATTTTTACATTTTATCAAAATAATCAAATATAACTTTTTTCTGAAGAACTTAGGTCATTATGTCACAGTATCCTTAGGATGTTGCTTTTCCAGCCAAAACCTCTGTGGCCAGTGGCACCTTTACCTGAGTTTTCCTTGAGCCCACGGGGCTCTCATTCCACCCACTCAGCCTGGCAGGCTTCACTAGGCCACACTACTGGCCGGATCCCATGCCTGCCAAGGGAAAGCCAGGTGCGGAGAAGCGAGGAATGTGTGAGCAAGTGAGCATGGGGTCTGGTCACTGTGCACAGCTAGGCGTGCCAGCTACTGCAGTGGGGTGGGCAGCTCCAGGCACTGACAACTGCCAGCTCCATGTAAGGCTGTGGCTGGATTAGATGTACCATAAGTGGCTTCTGCTGCGGGCAACCGCATCTGGACGAAGGGAAGGCAGCAGTTCCTGGAGGGTTGGAGACGCTAGGAACCTCAGAGCCCCAAAGAGGTTTCACAGCCCTGGCTTGGGGAATCCCTAGGTCTGGGCTCCCCGAAGGGCTGCAGCTCTTCTCTCCTCATCACTTGCAATGTGGTGAGCAGAGGGGACATGTTTTAGCTTGTTTGTGTTACAGCTGTTTCAGTCCTGCCATTCGGTGGGTTCCGAGATCTTGTCCCACGTCCTGGAATAATGAGGTATGTGGACAACTGGAGGGACAGCAAGGCAGACAGGAGCTTTATTGAGCAACATAACAGCTCTCAGGAGACCTGAAGTGGGTAGTTCCTTATCACAGGCATGCCATCCGGATGAGTGTCCAGATGTTGTGAAGAGGAGACCTGGAGTACGTAGCTCCTATCTGCAGGCAGGGAGTCCTGATGAGTGCAGCCCTTTAATAGAGAGGCGACTTGGACTGGGTACCTCCTATCCCCAGGAAGGTCGTCCAGAGAAGTGCGTGAGGTTGGGGTGTTTATGGGCTCAGAAGGGAGAAGGTGCCTGCTGAATGGTCTGTAGGTAGCCATGGGCAGGCCTGGAAAAAACACCATTAGATTGGCTGAACAGTCATCATTGAAGTTCTCACTCTGGGCTGCAGACATCAATGGGAATTGGCCGTCAAGTCCCCAGGCTTCAGGCTGTTCCTGGCTTGAAAGAGAGGTTTCACTGGGGTCCTGCCCCTTCCCACCCAGGAACCTGTCTGCCATTAGCATGTCATCCATGACGCCCAGGCTGTCTGTGGCATGAGATGCCGACAGGCCCTCGCTGAGCCACCCTCAGTACCCCCAGCCTCCTCTCATGCTTGTCAGTGCCCAAAGTCCAGATGGGGCCAAGTTGGCAGGGGGCTGGTGTGTCAGCACTGCCTTGAGTGTGTGCACACCCAATTGGGTTGCAACAGCGCCCAGGCTTGGCCACAACTTTGCTCTGCCCCAGAGTGGGCACCGGGAGCAGGGAGAAGCCAGGGAGCAGGAGTAGGCACTTTTAAGCCTGTGGGGCAGGGGGCTTCCTGGGCCCCTGAAAGTGCAGGGATGCCAGGGTCTGGAGCTGTGGCTAGGCAGCTGTGGCTGTGTGTGGGAGTGTGGACTCCTGCTAGAGGGTGGGGCTCTCACCTGTTCCCAGGTCCCGCCTGCTCCACAGAGGGCACAACCTTGACTGTGCCTCCTCCACTGTAGCTGGCATCCTCACAGCAGCCACTCCAGACAGGCTGTCACCACCATCAATTTGGCTACTAGTCCCAGGTACCTTCCATTTCACCATGTAGTTATTTTCTCAGTCTACGATTGTTTCTTAGAGAATTCTTCAAAATAATTTGAAAACAAATAAGATTAATTAAAAGAAATGAACCAATAGTTAAATTGCCAGGTGGATATACGTTGGAAGTGAGGTTTTAGGAATAGAATACTTCTGCACTCTTTCAGACCACATTGCACACACAAGGATGCCTGTTTACTTTAGAAAGATAAGATTGATATATCTTGGGGCTGCTTCCTCAGGATATTATCTATGTCTCTGTGCCTGTGCAAAGTACAGTGATGCCTGGACAGGCGATCATGTCTTCAGTTGCTTCCAAAACTTCTGAAAAGATGCTTCTGACATCTTATGTGCTCTAGATTCTAGATTATTTAGTTTTATTCTTATATTTCCATCTTAGCCCTTTACCTTGTAAATTGGGTTGATTGACCAAAAAGTCAATCAACTTCATGATGCTGATTGAAGTTGAACTTTAAGGTTTCCATCAAAAACTAACATTGAAACTTCCCTCCTTACCATTGGGTATTTTATATATTGAAGCTTATTTTCTACAAGGCAAGCACTAACTGGCTTATGTTGACTCAGGCTCAGATTAGGTGGACAGAACGACTACAATATGTGATACTTGATAATCTAGGAAGTTGTGCATCAGGATAAAAGGAAAGCTATATTGTGTTTTTAGAAAATTGTTGTGGAATTTTTTGTTTGTGCCAAAGCACAGAAAAGAGAAGGAATGATTAGATAAATAAATATTATATGTGATCCAAGGCAAGACAAGAGTACAACACATGAAATAAAAATAATTTCTTCCTACCCTCATTCTTAATTAATACAGAAACATTTTGGTTTGAAGATGGTAAGGTCAAAAAAAGAGAAAAGAATAATCTCATTATCAATTGCACCAGGCCCCAAAGATATAAATACATAGATATAAAATTCTGATATTATACTTATAATAATATTCAAAGCATATTTATGAAATAATACACAAAACACTTTTGTACCTTTAGATAATAATATGTATGGATGTTATTGGAGACAGGCAGTCATATTAATTAGTAAGAGAGATTTTCTTTAGAATAGATTGAGATCTCCAAATGAAAAATAGAACAAGGAGGTATTGACAAGTTGACATTGATAAGTAGAGTGTGGTTTTAGTCTTCTTTCATAAAATTATTATTTTAGCAGGGGTGATTTTGAATTTTATATATTATTTTTGTAATTTAGAAATATAACCAATATAAGCAAAAGATGCCAGTTATCTTAACCTTGCTACCTTAGCAAGGTCCCTTAGAAGTCATTTCTATATTTTGTTCGTGAAAGACTTTTCACTTTGTTTCTGCAACTCTTTTAAAATTTTCTAGTAATAGAAGATTCACAGACTGGAGAAAATTTCCTGCTTCTTTTATTTTTATCTGTGCTTATTTTCATCCAATTTCCTTAATTATTTAATTAAAATTTTAAATATGCTAATTTTAACAAGCAAAACAATGAAATGATATATTAAGAAGCAATCAATCTTTCTAACCCCCTCTTCATGCTTCCACATTTCCTTAGGTAACCGCGGTTAATGGAGGTATATCTCTCTCTACCATTCTCTTTACTCAAATATATGACATGTTCTATAATTTGGACAAGAGAACATTCTTCAGTTTATGTGGATACTCTATTATAGATAACTGTTGTCTTCTAATAAAATAGCTCAAAACAAACAAACACAAGTTTCCTTAATGTTTCCTTGAGAAAATAAAGGGATTAAGCATTGTGAGTTGAGGAATCATGGCATTGTCTCAGAGGTGCCCAAGTCCTTTGTGAAAAGAACCATCAGGTTTGCAGAAGTGGCCTGGTGAACCTGGCTGTACTTGAGATAGATCTTAGCATGATGCAGAAGAGGTAGATGTGGACTTAACTTAAGCCTGTTGTCTGTCAAAAATCTTTCAACCCAGAATCAGTTATGCCACGATAATGCTATCCCAGAAGAAAAAATATACTGTATTTGTCTCTGAAAGGTATACTAAAAATATATTTTATCTGATAACCCTATTTTTTAATTTCCAATAGGAAATAATAAAAAGGACAATGCTCTTGGATGATATTCTAAAATCTCAATTATGTGTCACTGATTTGTCAGTCTTTTAAATGTCATTAATAGTTCATCAGAGTTTACAACATATAGTTTATACGACCACATATGAATTTATATTCTGCATGTGAGTCTCTGTATCAGTAATCAAAGACTTTATCTAGACTATCAGTATGCAATGCACACTTTACTTGAACCACTGATATTATCAAGGTTCTTAAGCTATTTACTAAAAAGTTGATGCTTGCATTTTCCCCTATGTATAATCAGTGACAGATTTTTAACTGGTGATAAAGGTGTTTACTACCTCGATCTACATATTTGTGAACACAATTTGGTTTATACATATTCAGTTGTTCTTATACTTGGATAGCTGTCTCCATAATGTTGATTTACAGGTGCACTGATAAAGAAATATGTGCCTGAATGTAAATCAAAGTAACACACGATTTAAGCATTAAATTTCATTTTTGATTGCAAGTTTGTTTTCTGGTAGCTTTACTTATTTAATAGAAACATGTAATTTACAAGATGACAGTGTGCTTGTGATTTTATAGAGTTCAATAAAGACAAGTTAAAAGAGATGCATATAGAAACAAAAATTTAACTGAGCTAAAAAAATCTTGGGGGAATAAATGTCTGTATAAGACCCTACAGGAAAACATAAAACAGAGTTTATAGTCAATCACAAACTGAACTCTAGTCACACAAAATTCACAGTTGGAAAAACAAGCGAGAGTAAACAGGACATTGAGAGACAGAACAAGAAACTGACAGGTGCCGTCGATCAAAGGTCTATGAAAATCTTTGTTACCATGATTTCTGTAGGAAAAGCAAAATTTTTTAGAAAATGTAGGACAATACTGTTTTATAATTCCAGGCCTTTACTATCATTTGCTCTACTTCTTTATTTTAAAGAAACATTAAGTCGTAAATAATGCCATATTTACCTCCTACGTCTTGGGAATGTACTATATGCCTTAACTATTTATCATGGTTCTTGCATTTATATATTTTTCCTTTCCATATATATCTGTGTCTACCTTGCTAAACACCTTCTATAACCCTGGTCACTCCCAGCTTTTCATAGGCTTCCAGAAATCTGTTCCCTGCCTTTTTTTCAGGCAATGCAAGAAGTCCTGTTAAGTTTGCCAGATAAAAATACAAGATAGTAGATAAATTTGAGTCTCAGATAAACAAATGATTTTTTTTCAGTAACAGTATGGCCTATGCAATAGTTAAAATATACTTATACTAAAATTCAGTATTCCTTACTCTTTTGAAATTCAAATTCATCGAGAGTCCTCTATTTTATTTGCTAAATCTGGCAACCCTACCTGCCGGGCCATTGTAACAATTAAATTTAGAACAGCAGACCTCAACCATGACATATATTTATGAATTACTTTGCCCCAGGGGAGGGTGTTTCACATGAAGATTGTTACTGTTCTATGGAAGGAATGTTGGAGTGATGGCAAGAATCAGAAAACACCTTAATTCAGTTTCCCACTGGTGGTTCAAACCCACATTAAGCAGTTGGTTTTTCAACAACTTAGGTAAAACCTAGGGTAAAAGTCCCATGACATCTCTATAATATTTTTAGGTAATCATAAAACTGTGGATAACCTTTATTTACTAAGAGGCAGTTTCAGTATAGTAATTACTGTTTCCATTTTAGAATAATAATCAAATGCCTATAGCTTTTATTTCTTTTTCTAAGTTTAAGTTATTTATTTAAGCCACATCCTGCCACAAGCAAAGGGATGGAAGATCAGTACGCTAGTCATGATTTGTTACAAGTAAAGAAGGCGAGCTTAAGGTCCTGTATACTTTTCTGGTCTGTGAGCCGAGTAATGGTCCAAACCGGTGCTGAGGTCCCAGTGCCCGGATAGTGGTCCAGATTCTTTTTATCTTTGTAGCCAGTTGGAAGTGGATTAACACAGGGTTATGGAATAGAGAATGGTTACCATCTCCCCAGGGAAAGGGCTTGGACGTGATGTGGAGATGGGGGTAGGTGATGACCTCGGGTCTCGTACTCTCCATGGTGGTGCGACTTCAGGAACACATTCAGCAAGCTTATTGCCACCTTGGGGAGCACAATGAAGTAGGTGAGGGCCTTCCACATGTGAGCTGAGCCCTCCTGGCCATGGACGTTGCTCGACATAGGCTGTCCCAGTTGTGGGTGGGACTGACCCAGTAGCAAGAAACCTGGGACTCAGCAGCTGCTGCCATTTTTGACCTGGACTCAAATGCCTATAGCTTTTTAATTTGCAGCCCCTCTCTCTCTCTAGGGCAGGCCTTTTGAAGACTACCTTTCTGAGAAAAAAACGATCAGAAATCTCCTCCTCCATTTGCCCTCTTCTCCTTCCCATGCAAAAGGCTGCTTCTGGCTTCTTTGTTTGAACATGGTGGCAGGGGAGCAGTGGAGAGGCAATGGAGGTAAAGGATGAAACACATATGAGTTTTTCCAGGACATAATGATCTGCCCTGGGACCTTCTGGCCTTGATGAGTGTTTCAGTAAGGCACTTAAAAGACACTTTGGGAATTCGTCTCTTGATATCAGTTTCTAACTTGAAGCTTCCCTAGTCATGGGAGACTCCACAGGTTGAATTGTTTTCTGTACCTATCTCTTTAGCAGTAGGCAAACCATGGCCCACTCCAAGCTATTTTCTGCTGAGTTCTTTGTACCATTCTAGGTGGTCCCTTTGGAGAGCAATGCATATGAGCATAATTTTATCATGCTATAAGCACATTTTGTACATGGGGAACACATATATTCTTATCCCTGACAAAGGTTTGAAGTGAAAGCTAATCCTAATATGCCTCTCTGAGTAGCTACAGTGATTTTCCTTTAGGTTCTCATGTATGAGCCAGTATCAGCCTACTGTCAGCCACAGCTCCAGGTATCACAATACAAGCTCTTCCTGTGGTTTCACTGAATCCTTTCCCTTAGAGATGAGGAAAACACACCCCAGCCTGCCTTTTGCCCTGGTGAGATTCAAAGTGTACTTATCCTTTTATCCCAAATCTTTAGACCCTTAATGTGGATGAGAAAAAATAATTGCAAAAATATTTTAGAAACATTCTTTTCAAATCTTGATTTAGCACCCTGCATAGGATACGGAGAGTTGCCTTCTATTTTCTTGAAATTTTGGGTGAAATTAAGACTAAAACCAAAAACTAAAATAGTTCAATTTAAACACACTCTTTAAGGGGGAGGGACGAAGATGACTGACTAGACACAGCCAGAGAATGACTCTCCCACCAAGAGAAACCAAATTATATCAAGTAAACCATCACACTTCAGACAGATCTTTTGAGAGAAAACACTGAAATTGACAGAGGCAACACAGACACCGAGGTTGAAGAGGGAGGCAACTGGGAAGCTTACATGGAGTTGCAGAGCACCAGGACTGGCTCCCAGTCCTGAACAAGTGCTAAAGAAGGGGTTAGTGAAGGAATTCCAGGGCACCACACTCTCACCTTGGGCATCTGGGGTCCTAGCTACAAAGGATCTCATGACCCCCATGGACATATAAATTAGCAGGGGGAACTGATCAGAGAGTAGCCAGAAGCAGAGCTTGAACCTGCAGGGAACCCAGAAGGTTTTGTCCATGGGGCAGTTACAGCAACACACAACCATAGGCGCCCATCGCCCAAGACTCATCATCTTGCTCTGAGCAACTCTGACCCCGCTGACTGCCAGGCTGAGAGAAAGCAGGACTGCCCTTCCTATAGGACAAGGGTGCATCTGATCTGTGTGTGCCCTGACAAGGACCCTGCTTGGCTGCTCCCATAGGAGGGGGCACACAGCACAGCCACTCTGCCTGAGTGTTTTGCCAGTGGCCTGGAAACAGTGAAGGCCCTCCAGCACAGCCGCTGTTTGACAGGTCCTACCCCCAACCCCCTATCCCTTGGGTTTGAGCACAGAATCCTGAGTTATCAAGCTGGGATCTGTGGCCTCAGCTTGAGTGGGGAAGGAACACCCACTCTCAAAACACTGAGAAAAGTTATGCATAGGTTTATGTGCTGGCATGGGAGATGGGCATCTCTCCCTCTACAAGACTGGTATAGGGAGCGTACAGCCTGTTGACCAGCCACAGATTCTGCCTGGGGCTCTAGGGCCCAGAATACATGGAACAGCCCAGTAATCTGGACTAAGAAGGTTTGGGACAAAACTAGCTTATTGGGCCTGATCCTGAGGGAGATTAGATGGACAGAAACCCAGTCAGGGGAGCATGAGCTGTGCAGCACTACATCAGCTGCACACCTGTGGTGCTGCCAACACTGTCCATGGATCCTTTGCCCTTGACCCACTGCATCACCAGACCACCTGTAGACATATAGTCCCACAGCCAGCTTTGACTCTGCCAATCTCAGAGGACCAGTGGGTCCCCATGGTGTGGCAGGTCTTCTGGTGACTTAAACTTTGGATTGAGCTTCCCCTAAGGGTGGGGGATAGGGAGTGCAGCCTGTCAGGGCTCCCCTTGGAGCTAAGGAAACATAGGCAGGGTGCCAGCAATTGAAAGAGACTCCCCTAAGGCCTGGAAATGGACTCGGTGAGGGAATGATTCCTTGCCTCACTCCTATCTTCCCCCTCCCCAGAGGCCTGCTGTGGATACACTGAAATGCAAGAGGTGCATGGCTAAGATTCTATCTGCCAGCCCTCACTCTTAAGCATCATCTACAGGATCACAGCCCAAATTACACCACTAAACAAAAATAAATTCCTTCAACATGCATTACCTGTGCAACTCAATACAGGAAACTAACCACAACTAAGGAACTTGTACAGAGCCTTGGACTTTTGAAAGCATTCAGAAAGAAAGCCAATCAACTACACATAACATATAACACAGTCAAACCCTCAAGGGAAAAGGAATGTAACAACAAAATTCCCCATCCAAATTACAGCAACTTCAAAAAAATAAAGAAACACCAGCTCTCTCAGATGAGAAGGAATCAGTACAAGAACTTCAGCAACTCAAAAAGTCAGAATGTTTCTTACCTCCAAAGAATCGCACTAGCTCCCTAGCAATGGATCTTAACCATATTGAAATAGTTGAAATGACAGATATGGAATTCAGAATCTGAATAACAAGGAAGCTCAGTGAGATGCAAATGAAAGTTGAAACACAATTCAGGGAAGCCAGTAAAATGATCTAAGAGTTGAAAGATGACATAACCATTTTAAGAAAGAACCAAATTGAATTTCTGGAATTGAAAAATAGACAACAGGAATTTCTGAAATACAGCTGGAAGCCTTAACAAAAGAGCAGAATAAGTGGAGGAAATAATTTCAGAGCTTGTAGACAAATCCTTCAAATAAATTAGACAAAAATAAAGGGAAACAAATTTTTAAAAAATGAACAAAACTTCCAAAAATATGGAATTATGTAAAAAGAGCAAACCTATGACTCATTGGCATTCTTGAGAGAGAGGGACAGAGTGTGTGTGAGACAGTAAGCAACTTGGAAAACATATTTGAAGATATAATACAAGAAAATTTCCCCAATCATGCTAGAGAGGTTGACATGGAAAGTAAAGAAATTCAGAGAAGCTCTGTGAGATACTATACAAGATGACTACCCTCAAGACACATAGTCAACAGACTTTAAGGTCAATGAAAAAGAAAAAAAACATTAAAGGCAGTTTGAGAAAAGGGTTAGATAACTGACAAAGGGAACCCCATAAGGCTAATAGTGGACTTCTCAGCAGAAACCTTACAAGCCAAAAGAGATTAGGGGCCTATTTTCAGCACGCTTAAAGGAAAGATATTCCAATTCAGAATTTCATATCCTACCAGACTAAGCTTCATAAGCAAAAGAGAAATAAAATATTTTCCAGACAAGCAAACACAAAGGGACTTTGTTACCACCAGCCCGGCCTTAAAAAAAGGGTTGCTATTTTTATATTAGGTTCAGGGGGTACACAGGTATCCCCTGAATCTAAAATAAAAATGTGAAAAATAGATAAAAAACCTGAATAGTTCATGTTACTGCTGCAAACTAAGTATATTTACAGGAATAATGAAGATTCATCGTTGTGTGGCATTGGATATCAATTTCATGCAATTTACCCATACCATATATTCCATTTGTTATGCAGAAGTTTGTATAGTCATATTAAGTTTAAAATGACTTTAACAAGAGTCATAATAACTATTTTTAAAAAGTTAAAAAAAACAGATGTTGGCAATACTATGGAGAAAATGGAATGCATATACATTGTTGGTCAGAATGTAAAGTAGTTCGGCCACTATAGAAAGCAGTTTGGAGTTTTCTCAAGAACTAAAAATAGAACAAACTACCTTTTGACCTAGCAATCCCATTATTGAGTATTTACCCTTTGGGAACATAAATCGTTCTACCAAAAAGGCACATGGATCTACATATTCATCTCAGCATTATTCACGATAACAAAGACATAGAATCAACCCAAGTACTCATAAATAGTTGGATTGGTTAAAGCAAATGTAGTACATATACACCTTGGAATACTGTGCAGCCATAAGAAAGAACAAGATCATGTCCTTTGCAGCAGCATGGATGCAGCTAGAGGCCATTATCCTAAGTGAACTAACACAGAACCAAAAAACCAAATACTTCATGTGCTCACTTATAAGTGGTAGCTAAACATTGGGTGCCCATTGACATAAAGATGGGAACGATAGACACTGTGGACTACAAGAAAGGGAGGGAAAAGAGGAGGTGAAGGGTCAAAGATCTACCTTTGGGTACTAGGCTCACTACCTGGGTGATGGGTTCAATTATATCCCAATCCTCAGCATCACAGAATATGCCCTTTTAAGAAACTTGCCCATGTACCCCCTGAATCTAAAATAAAAATTAGAAAAGTAGATAAATAACCTGAATAGTCCATGCTACTGCTGCAGACTAAGTATATTTACAGGAATAATGAAGATTAATCCTTGTGTGGCCTTGGATATTGATTTCATACACTTGACCCATACCACATCTTCCATTTGTAATGCAAATAGACTCTATCTTTCAATAATAAATAAGTAAATAAATGTATTAACCCAGAATCTTTGATATTCTTAGAATTGGCAGGTAAAAGTTTTGGATTCAGATTAGTATAATCAACTAAGATAATGTCCTTGGACACAAACTGTCAACTGAGACAATGTCCTTGGGCACAAAGCAGATGGCCACTCACCAATTCATGATTTAGTCTAATTAAAATGTACATAAATGTCCTCAGCTTCATTTCTGAATCAGTGGCATTTGTAAAAGTAGTGAGGAAAGAAATATTTTCCAGATTAATGCTTATACATACGCAGACCATTTTCTAAAGAAAGGACATTTAGATCAGGGTCATAATATGTAGGACAAGCCTTGATTCATTTGCCCTTTATTCTAGGAAAGGGAAAAAATTAAGAGTGTAAAAATATCACGTAATGCATTGGCATTCATAGCAGGATGTGCTAACATTAACAAAATTTACAGTGTTTTTGAAGAGAGGTAATGAGAACGTCTCTGCAGCTTCAGTAGCAATGCATAATACAGCACAATGAAAAATGGTATTTTAATTTTCATGCATGACCTCCACCAGAGGTGTTAATCCTATGCTAGACCCTGTAATTCTCCAACTGTTTGGAGTGAAAGGAAAATGATATTCCATGTCTTTCAGAGATAGATCATATATCCTGGGAAATCTAGAGGCTTAGAGGATCTATTCGTGTTTTCCAGAGTAAGGACCATGGGGCATAATCCAGCTGTTTTGCAATTGAATGAGATATTAAACAGTATATTATTCTATCATTTTCTAAATTTAAGAGCAAATCTTGCCTTTAAAATAGATTAAAATTTAAAATTATGAAAATTTGATTGTATTTCCCTGAGATGTTCTGATATAATTAAATTTGTGAAGATATTTAAAATAGTCAAGCATTTGCCAACAGGCAAACATTTTTACAAAACGTTAATGTAAAAGGGTGAATAGGAGTTTCTGGGTAGATAGGAAAGTCAGGTTTTTAATAAGAGATGTTAGTGCTAGGAGAACTACTGTAGGACTTAAAAGTTGTTTGTGCCTCACTTCATTTTTATGCTAAGAACAATCAAAGGTCACTTTAAGGATTGGGGTAGGAAAATTAAATAGACCGCAGGATTATTTAGGATTGTCCATCATATCCAGAAGTGAAATAGGATTCAGTGGGGTCATGGGTAGTTTGCAGTGTGAATGGCAGATGGACTGTATGACCTGAAGAATAAGAAAAAAAAAAGGGCAGATATTGAAACTATTGTGCAGAAAGGAATAAAGACACTGGACAAGATGTGAAATGCTAAAGTGTAGATGTAGCTGTAATGACTTCCTGGTCTCTCCTCGCCAGCAGATGAGAATACTGCCTTGTTTGGAGCAGTGGTGGATCTGGGCAACAGAAAAGTTTCTAAAAGATTGTGTTTTCATTTTTTTTCAGATATAAAGGGTATCTAAATCAATGGGTATCCATACTGGCTGGATGTTAAATCAAACTGGGGAGCTTTAAAGATGCTCTGATGCTTAGGACCTACTAACAAATATTTTGATTTAATTAATTTGTTAATAAACATAGGCATAAATATTTTTAAGAAGGCTCTTCAAGTGATTTTAATGTGGATTTCAGGTTGAGATCCACTGCTCTAGATGAAAATAAAAATGGAGAGAGTGAGTTATCTGGTAAAATATGCATTCAGGATGTGAAAAAATCTTTCCCTGGGTGGCCATATAACATAATTCAAACTGTTGGCTCCCAAGTCTTTGATATACCTACAAAGTTCCTCTTTCCTCAGGATGAGCACTGATATCAAATCTGCAAGGGAAATGAATCAGAGAGACACCCAATCTCATCTCCAGCTTCCTTATCTTAAAGACTTTCATGCATGAATGCAAGATGAAGATCAGAAACTAAAATGCTTATAGAGGTCGTTTGGGAAAATCAATAAGCAAGCAGCCTGAGTCAGTAGACTGGTATTAAGTCTGAGTCACAGTGTGAGAGGAACACTGGGAATGGAGCATCCTGGATACTATAAAGGGAAGCACTAACCACTTAGCTCCCATTGGCAGTAGCCACATCATGGGCTGACAGCCCAGGGTCAACTCAGTTTTCAAAAAATTTTTCAAAAAATGTCAGGAACTTGGATTTTTTACGTGAAAAATTTCAGTTGTTGAAAATGGGAATCAAAACAATGCTGTTTGAATACTAGTGGCCAAACCAAGCCCATTTGTGGGCTTAGTATGGCCTGGGAGATACCAGTTTGAGACCATGGCTCTACATTGATCTGTGTGTCTTAAAGCGTGGTCCTTCACCCACATGCCTCAAAATCACCTGAGTTCTGAATTTCCCTAAATTTTCTGAGATGCTTCTGGCCCACTCCCTTTATTGCTTTTTATGGTCACAACCCTTGATTGTATGACTCAAGGCAATCTTTTGAAAAGTTTACAATTCAGTCAATTATGTAGTTGTTCTTTCTGTAGGGAGAAAGTGTGTTCCTCTTGTTTCGATATGATTGTAAATAGTGCTCTCGTTCACTCTCAAAAGCGAGAGTCAAGAAGATAAATTATATAGTTATCTATATGTAATAACTTAAAGAACAACAACAGCAATGACAATATGTAAGTATGATGTTTAGTTGTTTTTCTACTGACTTGATTAGATTAGAGGAGTATTGTGAATCTTCAAATGCTATGGAGAGTGAAGGCCAGCCTATCCTTGCTAGGAATATAAATATTAAAACTATACTTGTTTAGGAAAAGGATATAAGTTAGTGGTCTTCTATGTTGAAAACACAAGCCAATCCTATGCCTTTTAAGATGATAAATTTATTGTTAAAATGGTTCTGAGTATACTTTCTCATATCAAATGGTAATATAACATCAAAAAATTTGTAAAAATTCCCCCTTTGGTATGTAGAGCTGAATTCATTTCCTTTTGAGCATGGGCTGGATTTAATGACACACTTCCACTAAATTGAGTACAGAAATGAAAAACTTGTCAGACACCACCTTACCCTAGTGGTCTAGGGTACTATTATCAGTATAAATGATGTTGATTTTATCTACCTTCTGATATAATGGGATAAAAGGAACATCTCATTTCTATGGCATGTAATCATGAGAAACATCACAAAAACCCAAGTTGATGAAAATTCTACAAAATATCTGACCAGGAGTCTTCCAAGTGTGAAGGTTTTGAAAAACAATCAAAGGCTAGGAAACTGCCACAGACCACAGGAGATGATGAAATGCCAATGTGGTATTGTGGATTCAATCCTGAGACAGAACAAGTGGGAAAACTGGTAAAATCTGAGTAAACTGTAATTGGGTTAATAGTATTATTCTAATACTAATATATTAATTTTTACAAATGAACTGTGGTTGGTGATGTAATAGGTTAACATTAGAGGAAGTGGAATGAAGGGGATATGGGAACTCTCTGTACTATCTTGGCAACTTTTCTATAATTAAAAAGCCATTTCTTCCATTTGTTTGTATCCTCTTTTATTTCCTTGAGCAGTGGTTTGTAGTTCTCCTTGAAGAGGTCCTTCACATCCCTTGTAAGTTGGATTCCTAGGTATTTTATTCTCTTTGAAGCAATTGTGAATGGGAGTTCACTCAGGATTTGGCTCTCTGTTTTTGGTGTATAAGAATGCATGTGATTTTTGTACATTGATTTTGTATCCTGAGACTTTGCTGAAGTTGCTTATCAGCTTAAGGAGATTTTGGGCTGAGACAATGGGGTTTTCTAGATATACAATCATGTCGTCTGCAAACAGGGACAATTTGACTTCCTCTTTTCCTAGGGAACATCACACTCTGGGGACTGTTGTGGGGTGGGGGGAAGGGGGAGGGATAGCATTGGGAGATATACCTAATGCTAGATGACGAGTTAGTGGGTGCAACGCAGCAGCATGGCACATATATACATATGTAACTAACCTGCACATTGTGCACATGTACCCTAAAACTTAAAGTATAATAATAATAAAAAAAAGCCATTTCAAAATTAAAGGTTTATTATTAAAAGGTAATATTCTCACTTACCATTCCTAAATATAGAAATATGCTTAAGATTATTAAGCTACAGAGAGATACCTGAATTTTACACTACCTGCAACATAGCCTTCAGGGCAGACAATGGTGATGTTTGAGAAAGGGGACAATGTTTTGAATTGCTAATGCTCAGCAGTGTCTAGTTCAGAGTAGTAGCTAAATAAATACTTGTTACATGAATAAATGCATCATGTTTGGTTTCTGTTTAAGGTGCAAATTCAGCACGTGGGGCTTTTTGCCTGTCATTTATCCACATAATCTGGATCACCAGGCTTCATTCAAAAGATATAATTAGCTACTAGGATCAAAGAGCAATCTTTCCTATGAATTATTCTGTCAAATACACACATAAGCCTGTAGGAAAAGACACTTAGCAAAATAGTATTAAGGAACATTATGTTTAGAAGTTACTAAAAAATCTCAGAATAAGATTTAAAGAAACAAATTAAGTATATGGACACTTTTCCCAAAAACCTATAGTAACCACACATTTATTCCCAGGCATGAAAGAAGTGATTATTGTTAAGTGTCTATGATTCTTATCTGGGAGTATATCCCATTGAAGAATGACTCTGCCTCAGGCTCGCTTAGAATTAAAATCCTTCCCTGTGATTTGGCCTTACACAGCAACAGCTTTCTTTGTTTCAGCTGTCAGAGACTCTTAAGAAAAGTAAATCTTTGAAACTTAATTTACCTTTGGACTTGTTTACTTTTTAAATAGGAGAAAGAGGGAGGTTACAAAATGTAATGTATCAGCAACTGGACCCTCCCACCCCGTGACTGTTTTGTTGTTGTTGAAAGAAATATGATCATAACTTTTTGGGGAGGAGATTGCTAAAACCTCTTATAATTTTACCTTAAATTTTTAAATCTCAGGTCTACTTCTTTGCTTGTTCTTTCTGAAATGAAGTTAGCATCGAATTTTTCAATCTTCTTTAGAGACTATTTGCAGCTTGTTTCTAACATAATTTGAAATTCTAAAAGAAAAAAATCCCAGTAGTGGTTTGTGTTTTTCCCAAATAAACCATTTTAAGCAGTTAAAAGAAAATTATTGCTTTGTATGTTTTTTTTTTAATTGCAGCATTTTGCCGTATCCAAGACATGATTTTTGAATCATCAAAAGAAAAGGGCTGGTCCCTGTGAATTTCAATGTGTCAGCGAAAATACTGAAATTGCAAAAAGGCTAAAATTGCTGGGTTAGCAGCAGAAATAAATTATTCAATACTAATAGAGCTCTTTCTTAGAAAGGTAGGGAACTCAGTAGTATGGACAGTTTCAAGGACACTATCCTATCACAGATATGCAGCTTCATTTAGGCTGGCAACTAAAATGTCTGCGTAACTTGACGACAGTTGGGAGTTAAGATTCATGAGATTGGGATTGAGAAGGGAGATTATGAGAAGGTATGTAGTGACGAGAATATTTTTTATTATGGATATAAAATAGGATTATGTCCCAAAGTAATATTTTTGTTTAGTATTTTTTAAGGTTAAACCTAAAAAAAAAAAACAAGAAAGAAAAAGAATGGTTTGAGCACTGTATGAATACTAGAATATCAGCTTTCAAGATGCTCTAGATGACAAGATGGAAAATTAAATATCAGGAAGAGTTTTGCCCATAGACGTTTGTGGACTCCTGATGAGGAAAGTTTGCATTTCCCCCTACTTTCCTCATGAAGAAGTGTCTTGCCTCTTTGGCTGCCAAGAGACCAAGAAGGAGCCAGTGGCTGGGTGTTTTCATCGCCTAGATATGGACAGAAAAGAACATCAGGGAACAGTGGAACTTACTGCAGGTCCCTCAGCAGGGAAATGGTAGTCTGCTGCGTTGACACTGACAAGCCCCAGGCATACAGAACATTTTGCTTTCCAAAACCTGGGAAATGGTTATCATCTAGGATGTGCTTGAAAGCCTGTAGAGAAAAAAAGTGACACATTATAATGCCATTTTTAAGAGTAAAGAAATTTACATAGAACAGACTACATACAACCAGTGAAAATAAAGATTGTATGGGAGGCATATGAAAGCATGAATAAAAATATCTATCTATCTAGCTCTATATACTAAATATAAATGTATACAAATCTATATTTAATATATTAAATATATAAACATATAAATGTATATAAATACATTTAATATATTAAACATAAATATAAATGTATATATTTAATATATTTAAAATTTTTTTTATATGTACATAAATCACTTCAGTGATTCAGATCCACGTATAGAACTTAAAGAACTTTCCAAAACCCAAAACATGATTCCCTACTAAGCAATTAATTTTGATTCCCAATTAGTGGCCTAACATATGAAGTGCAAAAAAATAATCTTGAAATAGTGAGACAAAAATATACATAGATGACAAATCACAAGGCAAAAGATAAGAAATCTAGATAGTGGATCCATCAGAGTTATCAAAAGAACAAAATAAAAAACACATGAATGAGATAATAATTAAACACACAATGAAGGTAATTTTCCCTAAGCCAAATATAGTTCTAAGCCTGCAGTTTGAAAGTAACTGTACATAGATTGTGATATTCCTTAAATATCACCATCGTCATCGTTGTCATTATCTTCTTCCTCTTTTAGCAGGATGTGAAGGATATAAAATATTTCTAGAAATTATTTGGCATTTCTCTCATTAACAGGTGGGGCCTAATTTTCTTCTTCATGAATGTAGGAATGCAGGCTGACCTTAGAAACTTGTTTCTAATTATTAGAGTGAATTGAGAGTGGCATTGTGTGGTTTTGCAGTCTAGATCATAAAAGGCCATCTAACTCCTGCTTGGCCTCTCTCTCTCTCAGAACTTGTGCTTTTGAAATTAAGAAGTCTAGCTATCCTGACTCCATATGAGCCATGCTAGGGTAACCATATGGAGAATGCCCATAAGGAGGAAAAAGATGCCTGAGGAGGGGCTCTGCTGGACTCCTGTTTGAGTTTTTGACTTATGAACTTCCCAGCATCAACAGTTCAGTGAGTAAGCCTTCAGATGATTCCAGCCCCCAGCCTTCCATAAGCCCCAGACACCACCCAATGGAGACAAATTGGGCTATACCTGCGGAGTCTTGTGCAAAATGGAGAACAGCACAAGAAGACATGCTGTTGTTTTGTTTTGGAGTGGTTTGTTATGCCACCATAGTGAATAGAACATGAATTCATAAGCTAATTTAACAAATTAGCTACATAAGATAAACATCAGGCATGTTATAAATTTGTGATCTACATCACTGGATGCTGAGACACAGATAAATAGAATGTATTAACCACTGAGAGAAAATGACCATCCCTACAAATTCTGCAAGGTATTATTCACTTGCAGGACAAAATACTAGGATGTACAAGAATTCTGTATATAATCACTTAAGAAAATAAATGACATAGGAAAAATTGAAAAGGAACAGAAACAGTTGTGAGAAAGAAAATATATATTCTACAAAAGTACAATTAACTATACATACCTAAGCGTACTCTTTCTAGGAATGTGTAATATCGGTGCTAAATAGGACTTGAAACAAAAATGGTGTGGTGAGGGATGCATTTGGATAATGAACCATTTTAGGCAAAACTAAGAGCTGGAGGATGAAGGAAGGTACAGAGATATAACAGGCTTTCTAAATAGATTGGAGGATGAAAAGAAAAAGAGAAGGAAAGAAAAGGGTCAATGAAAGTATCCCAGAGGCCTTAAATTAGTCATTTGGAAGAATAAAGGATACTTCATTTTTAATTATAGTAAAGAAATATTTGTCTGATTTTGAGAGAAGATAAAGGGAAGGTGACTACTAATGAAATCGATTACAGAAAACCTTTCAAAGCAGCAATGGGAAAAATGCACCAACCAGTGAAAATAAGGGGAAGCCAGGCCGGGCGCGGGGGCTCACGCCTGTAATCCCAGCACTTTGGGAGGCCGAGGCGGGCGGATCACGAGGTCAGGAGATCGCGACCATCGTGGCTAACATGGTGAAACCCCGTCTCTACTAAAAACACAAAAACAATTTTTAGCCGGGTGTGGTGGTGGGCTCCTGTAGTCCCAGCTACTCCGGAGGCTGAGGCAGGAGAATGGCGTGAGCCCGCGAGGCGGAGCTTGCAGTGAGCCGAAATCACACCACTGCACTCCTTGCCTGGGAGACAGAGCCAGACTCTGTTTCAAAAAAAAAAAATAAAAAAAATAAGGGGAAGCCAAAGATAAATACCATCTAAAATGAAATAATTAACTTAAGGTAAGGCTATTTCTTTAAACTTGATCAGTCAAAATATTATATAATTAGAGCTAACTAATTAAAACTTTCTCATATGCTGTTTACAAAACTACACACACAGCGAAGTTATAAAGAATGATTTAAAAGAAAAACTAGTCAAATAAGAGAGAGAGAAAGGATGTGAGTAAATAGGACTGGTAGTATAAATATCACATTGGATGTATTCAGAATAAACATTTCTAAATAGGAGACAATGGAACTTTTTAAAAAATAAGTACAATTTTGAAACTCTAACAATCAATATGTGAAATAATAAGGCAGTTAATTATACAAAGTAAAAAAATTAGAAATAAAAAAACTGCTTAAAATACAGTTAAAAATTCATTTCCTCCTGAAGTTTTGGAAAAGCTCAAACTTTTCAGTGCCTCCCCGCTTCCTCTTCTTATCCACAGTCAGTGGTTGTGTAAGGCCAACTTAAATTCTTTAGATATTCAAAGCCAGTTCTTTTCTGGGATGGAGCTGGAGGGGTTGGTACCATCAGTTTGTTTATTCCTTAATAACTCACCTTAGTATATGTGATTAGGAACAATGAATCTAATTTGTTCAGAAGGATGCTTTTGGGGATCCTATGCATTGCCCTGGGAGCTTTTAGCATTCAGAGATGGTGGTTTATATTCCTTTGAAATCCTCTGCAGAATGTAATACAGTGAAGTTTTAATTAATTGGAACGTATGGACTATGATGATTAACAAAACATCATTTTGATTCTTAACATTTACTGAAACTTTTTCTTTATTTTTTGCTACCTTGACCTTAATGATAAATTTTAATAAAAATATATTTAATCTCCCTTTGATGACTAAGGATACTATATATCCTCACACTTATTGCTCTCAATATTATAGCTGAATGTATATTGATTCCAAGATAACCTAAGAAGTTACCTATATTATCAATGAATTGTGAATTTTTTTTATTAAAGGTGGATAAGAATTTCAAAGAAATTGCAAAGCCATTAAGTCATTGTTAATAAAACTACTGATTTCTCTAGGGAAAATTTATCAGTGGGCTTTGTTCTTGGTTTGTGATTCTTGGGAGCTGCTGGAGCCAGAAAAAACAAAATGAGTAGGCGAACATTTCCAAAAGTAGGGCTTTTAAAAGAGCAATTCTTCTCTGTTTCTTGTCTTTGTAAGAGACAGATTGTTCTTATAAAATTGGCGATAGTCAACCACTCTCTCTCTCCTCTTTAACTCAGGGACTAGTGGGTTACTGTCTCTTGCATGAAAGTCACTGAGGCCAATGTGCTGAACTCTGTCAGGACATAAGAGAAAGGGACTGGGAACAAATAACAAAGGTGAGTCAAAAGCAGCATGGCAAAGATAAGCAGATTTTCCATGCTTATGGGAAACAATGCAAAAGGTTGTCTAGGGCTTAAACAGTCATTGTGATACTTAGTCTTAAAATGAAGAGGATTGAGTCTTAAGAGCAAGAATGGCATTTCTAATAACTGAAGGTAACAGAGAAATGTATAAGTTTATAGATTCAAAATGAGCAGTCGCTAAAGATGACTGTCCTTCAGTAGAAAAAGGGTGAGAGGTGGATGAGAGATCAGAGTTGATGGAAGTTATTGGAAGAATAAAATTGTTCCATGTTTATACCCCTATAAATTAAGACTATTCAATCAAACTGATTGTACTTCTTCTTACTGTCCCTTGAGATTTGTCTGTTTTCCCTAAAAACAAGTGTCAAAACAACACCAATTAATTGTAGTCTGGTGAATGGGTTTCACATCTTAGAGGTTTTATTGGCCATTGATATGCAGAGATGGCATCTTCAATTTATAGATTAATTGTTTCCATCACTCATGGAGTAAATAAGACCTCGGGAGGGACAACAAGTAGTTCATTTAATAAATATTTTTGAACCTCTTGGCAAAATGTTATCCTACCATCATAACTCCTTTATGGTTCAGGACACCTGATAGAAAGTTTTCTATCTGATGCACACAGGAATTTACTCATAGCTACTGGTCCAATTATCCTAGTCTCTAAGTAAAATTGCTTTCTAGCAGGGCCTTTTAGCCAGATATTTTAGCAATTACCTTATTTTTTATATAAGATGTTTTCTATCAAAAATCCCATCTATGGGAAATTTCACAAATCCTACCCTAGAAATGGTTATTCATATGAATTAATGTTCAGAGAAAAGTGAAACTTTTTTTTTCCAATTCTGAATTTCATTATATGTGTTATGTACATTCATTTCCAAATTATGAATTTCTTAGTGATAATACATCTATATAAAAATGATTTTTAATAAATTAAGAGAAACACAAAGATATGCCATTGTGGTTTGAAGAGGGATACTGACTTGCATCTTGTTGTTGGTAGTAAAAATTTGTATCTTAGCATTTCATTTTCAGATGTATACTAGTAATACTAATAATTTTTCAGGATAAATTTCTACATAGTGCTTTATCTGCAATGTAACCAACGTTGTTGCAGTATTTAGACACATTTAGGTAAGGAGCAGTGACTCACACCTGTAGTCTCCGCACTTTGAGAGGTCAAGTGGGGAGGGTCACTTAATTCCAGGAGTTCAAGATCAGCCTGGGCAACATGGTGAGACTCCATCTCTTCAAAAAAAATAATAATTAGCCAGGCATGGTGGTTCATACCTGTGGTCTCAGCTACTCAGGATGCTGAGGCAGGAGGATTGCTTGAACCCAGGAGGTTGAGGCTGCAGTGAGCTGTGATCACACCATTGCATTCCAGACTGGGTGACAGAATGAAACCCTGTCTCAAAAAAAAAAAAAAAACACTTTAAAAAAAAAGTCCTCATAAGAATTCATTGTTGAATTTTCCCTGATAACTTGATTAAGTTCAATAAGCCTAATGATAAAAATGAAATAATTATCCTAAATAATCAGAAATAGTTTCCAAAATTCATTTGAATAAAAGTGTGCAACTTTGTGAGACCATAGAAATAGCAGATATTTTATGAATACTGTTTACTTAGAAATGTATAAAGCAGAAGGCTTTTTTAAAAAAAAAATAAATAGAGCAACCAAACTGTTTGTTTACATAATGATAATTAGAACTGGGTATGAAAGTGATCAGAACCAATATAATAATACCTAGCATAATAAGCTTATAGTATGTACTAGGCATGGTACTAAGTGCTTGCATGTATTTGCACATTCAATCCTAACAATAGTCTTATGAGGTAGCTATACAAAGTGCAGCTTTTACTGGATTACCAGAGCCAGTAGTTAAATTTTCAGGAATTTTGTAAATTGGTTGGCACCATGTTGGTAGTTTGAATTTGAAGATGCTGGCATTATTTATACCATGAAAATTCATGAACACTACAAAGTAAACCTTTTGTTCCCCTCAGAGTGCCAGTTGTTAAACATTTCCCAGCATACCACTAGGTAGATACTACTGTTATTTCTATTTCACAAATGAAGTAATTAAGATATAGAGGAGTTAAGCTAAGTTACCTAAAGACACAAACTAAAAACAAAAAAACCAGGATAGAGGTGGAATTCAATCCAGCTGAGCTGTTCCACACTGGACTTCAATCCCACTGTCCCAGTTCAGGGCATCATCCCCTCTCTGCCAGATGATGGCAACACCTCCCTCTAGGTTTACCTCTTCAAATCCATTCTTCTCCCTTCAGTCAGAAGACCATTCAAAAACACAAGTTGGGTCATGTCATTTGATGTTGAAATGCTTTCAAAGGTGCTCCATGATTCTCAGGATCAAGTCCAGATATTCTGGTCCTTGGTTTTATGGCTCTGGCTTAACAATACACTTTATTCTCATCACTCTCAGTCCTATGTGGTCTTCTGTATACCGAGCTATATTTGGTTCCTCTAATGTCTTCTTCTGTCTCTGCGCCTGTTATTGTCTCTCATGTTTCAATGTCTTGGCACTTTTTATTGAGGTCTAGTAGTTCTTGAGTATTCCTATTTTTCAGGCAACACAATAGAATCATGGAAACATTTTCTGCATATTAAAAATACAGCTTGACAGGCATTACACGTTTTGTGTATATATATATATCACATATTCATATCCATATAGTTTTTCTATACATAATAATGTGCTAGTTTAATAAATAGTAGCCAGCACTTTCTCATTCATAAGTATTGATTTCTGTTTAGGTAATTTGCATTTATATATATTTTGGTTCCTTTTCCTTCCTTCTATCGACCTTCTACTCCCCAAAATATTGAATTTCAGACAAATGTGGGAACATGCAATACTAGGAAAAAATTATTTCCAACCTCCATTTCCTGTAACTGCATTTCATTTTTAATATTGCAGCTACAGAAAATGGACCTTTGAGCCTGGGGTCCATTTTAGCATTTCAATGTGACTGACACTATTATTCAGCAAATATCTATTGAATCAAATAAAAGACTAAAATTTTCATTCAATCATTGAGATAATTGGGTTGGTCTACTCAATTCTCTCAGTTTTGACACTAAAATGTCCAGATATCCAGGTATTCATATTTTAATAAATAGCTGAAAGGAGACAAAGGCAGTTAATAAGATATTCATAGAAAATATCTACATAGCTACAAAACACCTCATCAAAGTAAATACAGCGACTCCACAGGCGCACCAATTTGGTAACATTTATGGGTGAGAGAGGGGATATGTTGAGAAAAGGACCTGAAAGAAAGGATATGCAAATGTGAATTATGATTATACCTGGGTCAGGGAGTCATCAGGGACTATAATTTGCTCTGTGCTTTTAAAGAGCAGAGATATCTTTGCCTGCTGTCATCTGTAAACACCTCTAATACAGCCAAATTTTGGTCACACACACACACATACACAAACAGTATTTGCAATTAAAGGAAAGGAGGATAACATGAACAAACGGAAGGCTGAGCACTCAGATGAGTACCCAATGCGATTTATATTAAATAACATTTAAGCAATATAGTAAGACTTTAACTCCAATGCAAAGAGCTCCTCTTTAAAACTCCCTTCAAAACACTTACTGCTACTTACTTTATATAGGAAATATGAATTGTAATAGGAATGCTGAGTTTCTAATGGTGAAAGAGAAAAAAATACAAAAAAAGACAAAAATACTTTTTAGGAATGGTGGCAAATTTTATTTAGGCATGCTCGACTTGGAAGATAATTTCTCCCCCTAAGTTCCAGAGAAATTTTCATATTCTTCCTATTTTACCTTCAGAACAAAGGATATTTGAAACAGTTACTTAAAGGCAGACAGGAATTTGCAGAGTACCTTTGAATTCAAGGTGGATTTTGCATGTCTTGAGATTATAACTTGCTGCAGGTGAAGTAGCAAAATAGGAAAAGAACAACTAAAGCCATAAAATACAGCTGATCAAAAATTATATTCAAGATATGAAGTTTCCATATTATAAGGACTAGACATGAGACAGTTTCAGAAAGTCTCTACATTAGCCCATTGTTTCTGATGTTGCCATAGGGATGTGTAGTCCAGCACAGAAGGGAGAAATAGGCAAGACGGATTAGAGGGAGTGTAGGACCAGCACAAATAAAGAAAAGTTTCTTGACTATTCCTGACCCTTCATCACAACTAAAATTAGGAAACTGGTAAATTATATTTGGAAAATATTCATAAACACAGGCTAATATTTAGGTTTGTGTACACACATGTTTGTAAATGTCTGTGTGTGTGTGTGTGTGTTTGTGTAGAAAGAGACTATCACTATGTCTGTCTGTAAGCCTGTTCTGCAATAAATTCCCTCTGTTACCAGAACGACATGCAGTCACTCTCAATTTTAGGTTAATTTGGTTATGTCTATAATTTGTGGAAAAAAAGATGATTTAGTAATGAACCAAGACTATAGTAACAATATAGTTTCAAAGACAAAAGAACAAATTTGAGGTACTTAAAATGCAAAATCAGAATTGAGCAAGTAATTCAGTGTGGATACTGAAGTCATCCATGATTTCCATGTGCCATGTTTTAGAAGTGGTTATAGATATTGTCCTATTCACAAAAATAGAGAATATAAAATGAGAAGAATCAAGCTTACATGGTAAAGGACATGATTTTATTCATTTATCCAATATTACTATATTAAGATCATATTTTGAGTTGAGCAACGTGCTAAGCACTAAATATAAAGACACGGTCTTTGCTCTCAAGCAGTTTACTAAAGTGAGATCACGGAAATTAATGGAGAATAGAATATCAAGAAAAGAAAGATTTGAGACCAAGTATAACCATGAGGTACTTTTATGACTAAAATCAGTGACACAAAACATTTTTCTTTGCAGAATGCTTCTAAGTTGTGCAGTTTGGATGGTACATTTCAATTAGTTACATACAATTTACACTTATTGTACTACTTATTTGGAGTTCCTTCAGGACGTATATTCATGAGGCTAATTTGTATCAACTTGTAATACACAAGCTATTTTTTTTGGAGGGGGTAGGTTACATGAACCTCAATAAGCCTTTACTTCAGTAAATTATACCTGGTTCATCACGGAGGTCTGCTAAGCTATACATTCCTCTGCCTATGGTTGCCAAGGCAAAATACATGCTTTATGTAGGTCACATTGCATACGTTGATTAAATTTTGATGCTATATCTGTGAAGAGGTTACAGCATTCCAATTGTGCTATGGCAGACCAGCTGAGGAATTCTGATTAAAATGTCCTTAGACTATCTACGTCTATTTCCCCCCCAATTTTAGGTTTAGTAAACACATTTTTATTTTTAATTAGTTCCAGAAAGAGATTAACCTGGATTAAACATATGCAAATTCTACTCACTAAAAAGACATAATTCCCATTGCAAATTAATGAACTCTAATTCTGGATTACACTGTTGAGAACAGCTGACATGAATAATCTGTTGAAAAGTTGATTAGCTTTGTTACACTGGTGAAATCAAGTTTCTGTGCTTTCCTATGTCAAGATATAGAATTGTAGTGAGTTTATGACACCACTCCATTGTAAAACCTATCTGAGAAGTCAGCAGGCTGTTCTTGATGAGGTCTGTGTTTCAGCTTTCAAACTGCATTTCTGAAGGTTAGGAAATGTACGCATATTTACAACATGCCATTGTGAATTCATTGTAGAACAATTCTCAGTGAATAGGCGACAAGTATATCATTCTGTTACTGGATGAATGATGTCCCTCTTAAATTATAGCCTCAAGTTTTAGAGTTGCTCTAGATGACAACTTTATGAAATTAGGGAGGAAGAAAGTGTGTAGCAGAATTGACTGTTTTTGGTCCTTCATTTTTTTTCTGCAACTTTTGAGTCTTCAAAATACTTCTTACCATTCTGGGCACCAGGAATCAGGATTTACATGGAGCATTGAAATATGGGAGTTATCCGTATTTCAGAAGCCCTAGCTTAGGAATAAAATGCATATTTTTCTTTGGCTGCCTATCAGTGACAATATTATTATTTTTATTTAAAAATATACTTTAAAATTTAATCTTTAGATAAACAAGAAATTATTAGCCTCTTAAAATTAATTTTGCCTTTGTATTAAATAAATCAATTTAAACTTCTACTTAAATATGACCTCTGATACATGTAAATATTAAATTATTGGCTATATAAAAAATTACCATGGAATTAGCTTACTTAGACTAATACATGACTGCTTAACCTAATAGCCCTATTAGTATGAAACTCAAATAACATCAAGAAGAAAAACAAATTGATTTATCAATATAAAGATAGGTTTATATTCTATATTTTTGAAATTCATGTATTTAATTTTCTGTTTGGGAAGTTGGTAAATAGAGAAATTGTTTTATATTAAAATTATGAACAATTTATGGGCTAAAATTTAATTAGCAGGGTGAAAGGAAAATGAGGCTTAAATTTAGGGGCCCTAAAATTTCTTTCTTAACTCCTACAAATAAAACAAATAAGATAACAGTTGTAAAAAGGTTATGAGACATTTTTTCTAGCAGCAGAAAATTATTCAATAGGACCCCCAGGAGACATAGCCTTTCCAATTATTAAGAAATCAAGTTGTTGTTAATTAAGGCTGGAAGATCACAGACATTTTAAGTATATAATTTAATTAGGAGAATTTGTGTGTATGTGTGTGTATGCAATATGATATACAAATATATATACACAATATCATATATAATATTAATCTAAAAAAGAAGTTAAGAATAACATGGGACAAATAGCAATAAAAATTAAGCAATTCTGTAATACTATCCTGAGATGACACACTTTATATTTCCCTTGGCTGTAATGCTGTGTAATTTAACTTTTCTCTTCCCAAATCCTATATCTTTATTCAAGTTACATCCCTATGAAACCTTTTTTTTTTCCCCTTAGTCCTCTATTTTGCCCTCAGTAATGCCATACAGTACACCATACAATAAACTTTTTAATGATGCAATACCTTGCTTTGTTTACTTTGCTTGTGTTATGTGTTTTTTTTTTCCCCCAACTAGGTTGTAAACTCCTTCGGGATAAGGAGAAAATCATATATCTTTCTCATCCTCAGGGCCCATCTAAATATTGAGCATATAATAGGTACCAAATAAATCCTGTTGATTATCAGCTTGAATATTAAAGATTCATCAGAAGTAATTGTTTCTTAAGCTAAAATATGACTGTCCTATAACTCAGCAGGATAATATAAAGTTAGAAAGTAAAATATTAAAAGCAGAAGAACTCTGTGAATGGAGGATTTCTAAAGCAGCCCTTTAGCAGATGTTCATATATTAAAATAAGATATGCTAAGCAGGAAAATAACTGTCAATGAGCATGGCAGGTGTTGAGATAAACCCCTGAGGGTTGACAATAAAAAGTTAAAACAAAAACGACACAAAGGAATCACAACTAATACGAAAGTAAAAGATACCTCTAAAGGATATATTCATTTTTAGATTAACAGATTACATTCCCCAAAATAATACCTTCAATGATCACTTTATCTGGAAAACAAGCAGGTGTGGAATTAATCACCTTTGCATGTCCATATGATTTTATATTATTTATATCTGTTTACATGAACTGGACAATTTAATTGATTTAAAACTTAAGATTTTAATATACCCACCCTGGAGATATTATATTTCATTAACTAAGACTGTTTGTCATCATTCATACATTTATCCTGTCAGTTACTAAATACCTTCGCTATCCTTTTCATTTAAGAGTCTGTACCTCCATCCATTCCTCTCTTCCCATAGTCTTAACCATGGCCAAGACTTCTCTCCCATCAAGTTTGAACTACTGCCTTCTCCTCTCAGCCTCTATTACAGAATTTCTGCTACCTGAAGAATTGCCCAGTTAATCTTTATTATTATTATTATATATTTTTTGAGACAAGAGTCTTGCTCTGTCGCCCAGGCTGGAGTGCAGTGGCGCGATCTCGGCTCACTGCAAGCTCCGCCTCCCGGGTTCACGCCATTCTCCTGCCTCAGCCTCTGGAGTAGCTGGGACTACAGGTGCCCGCCACCACACCGGGCAAATTTTTTTTTTTTTTTTTTGTATTTTTAGTAGAGACGGGGTTTCACCGTGTTAGCCAAGATGGTCTCAATCTTCAGACTTCGTGATCCACTCACCTCGGCCTCCCAAAGTGCTGGGATTACAGGAATAAGTCACCGTGCCCGGCCCCAGTTAATCTTAAAGCAATGCTTTCATTCTGTTAGCAATACCCCACATTTTTCCTGTGCACACACATACGTCAAACTTGCATTGATTCTTTCTCACCTATTGCATAAAATCTGAGTACTTTGGCTTTGTCCGAAAATATCTGAATATCTGAATAGTACTACCAAACTACTTTCAACTTTATTGCTTGGTGACCCAATGCAATACCTTATAAACAGGTCACGCTTCACTTCATGTCTATGAATTTAGTTCTATTTAATGATAATGCATGCTGATAGATTTAAGTGGGAAGTTTAGAGATGTCAAAAGTTTAGTTTAAAATGCATTAAAAATGAGATGGATGAATAAAGAAGTGATTAGATGTAGAAATGATTACTAAATTGTTTGTAGTAGAATTTAGGTGGTGGGTACATGGAAATTCACTTCAAATTTCCTTTATATTTGCTTTAGGTTTATATGTTAATATGGTTTCTAGAAGAGACCAAAAATGAATCTAAAGCCACACTTATAGAGGTAAGAGAGTGTTAAATCCTGGAGCCAGTCCTGAAATAATCTGCTGAACCTGGAGGCTTGGAGCTTTTATTTTACAAACAAGATGAGACAGGAGAAAAACACTTAACCTTACACAACATGGGGGTGGGGTGGGGGGGAAACTCATGCAGAAGTAAACTGATACCTTGCATAGAATGTTGCTGAGCTTTATAATATCTGAGTAGGCCAGAAGGTCTCAATTCCAGAAATAGTATTAAAGTCATGTAAAAAGATAATGTTTCCAGTGACTTGGAAAATCAGATGAAACTACTGTCTGGTTGAAATAACATCATCCTAGGACTCAAACTGTTTTTCAAATTAAAAAAAAAGACAAGTTGTAAAAAGTAACCAGGTAAGCAGGGACTTAAAAATTCATGATTGCTATCTTCTAGCTAGGATATATAAAGTTGAAAGAGCATCACCTCATCCTAACTATAAGAACAGCTTGAGAATTTACAAAATCATAACTTTTCTTTAACCCAGCATAGAGGAGGTCCCAGGGCAAGCAACTAGACTAAAATCTAAGAAGAGATGGATCAATGAACAATGGCTCACCTGTGACAGAGTTCAAAAAAAAAAAAAAAAAGAGAGAAAGAAGAAAACAGACATTAATCACCATACAAATGAATAGCAAAATTTTTAAAGGCCATACGTGGTGTAGCATGAGAATATAGAATTCCTTAAAGTTAAAGACACATGGTAAACGACTACTTATAGGCTTTTCTTTATGGCTGTCTACCAGGTGCTCACAAGAAAAACAATGTAAAGCAACACAATGATATTGGATGGTAAATCGTTTAAATTAAAGATGTTTAAGTTCTCAGATAACAATTTATCATTTAAAGGTGTAGAGATGGGGGGGGGTCTCATCATGTTGGCGAGGCTGGTCTCGAACTCCTGACCTCATGATCCACCTGCCTCCGCCTCCCAAAATGCTGCAATTATAGGCGTGAGCCACTGCTCCTGGCAACATGCCTTATTTTAAATAGTGTTTGCATAATGTATCTTTTTTTATCCTTCAAAATATCTTTAATGTTAGCTTCTTACAAACATATAGTTGAACATGCTTTTTATTGGATTAGTTATTCTGTTGTTATATCTCGTGTTTTAAAATAATGTACATGTAATTAATTATATAAAAATTCAAAGCAACTAGAAAAGTAAAAACTCTTGAAAAAACAAATTTAAAAGACTCACATTATTTGAATTCATAATTTATTATAGAGGTACAAGGTTTAAGACATTGTGTTATTAGTGAAAATTGGAAAAAGTATATCCATGAAACAGAATAGTGTATTAGAACTACACCCACACTTACATGGTCCATTTATTTTGGAAAGGTGCAAAGGCCAGTCAAGGAAAAGCAATCTTTTCGACAATTGCTGTAACAATTGTACAACCATATGCACTCAAAAGACCCTAATCCGAGAAATTTCCCTACCAAAGAAAAAAAAAATCTCCAAATCAATCATGGAATTCATGGTAAACCTAAAAGTGTAAAACTTCTGGAAGATAACATGGGGCACAGGGGTACATATTTGTGTTTTGGGTCAAAGATTTCTTCATTATGTCATAAAATACATGATCCATTACAAGTATTAAATTATACTTTATCAAAATTTAAAACTTCCACTGTTTGAAAGGCAATGTAAAGATAATGAAAGGGAAGCAAGATCAGCCACAGACTGAGAAAATTTTTTGCAATAATTTTATAATATGTATATATGATAAAGAAGTTTATCAAGAATATATAAAAATAAGTCTTGAATACATCAAAAAGTTCCCCAAATTCAATAATAAGAAAACAAGACACTTAAGTAAAAACTGGGCAAAGGATTTGAACAGACAGTTTACTAAGAAATCATATGCATTAAAATAAATATATGGGGGAAAAGCTGAATGAACAGTGATTCGGGAAATGTAAATTAAACCACCATAGACAGCACTACACATGTACTAGCCTGGCTAAAACAGCCAAATGACCATACAAGATGTTGTTGAGGATGCAGAGCAACTCACATTCAGAAATGTTGCTGATAGGAATATGAAAATGGCATACCCTATTGAAAAACACCTTGGTATTTTCTTTTAAAGTTAAACATAGATGTACCATAATGGCTAGTAATCCCACTTCTAAGTATTTATTTAAAATACATGAAAATTTAAATATTCATGCAAAAGTTTTACAAAAATTCGTGCAATAATTTTACAGGTCTTGTTCATAGCTGTCAAAATTAGAAAAACACCAACAACTGCAGATACAAAAGATTTAGATCCTTTTTTTAACTACTCATGGAACAATAACATTACCTAATTCTAGAGCAATCAGGTCACGGCAAGTTTTAGAGAATGTATATAAAACAGACTAAAACTACAATGTTAAAATTACAATGTTGAAATTAGTGGGAGCTAAACATTGAGCACAAATGGACATAAATATGAGAACAACTGACACTGTAGACTGCTAGAGGAGGGAGGGAGGTGGATAAGGGCTGAAAAACTACCTATCAGGTACTGTGCTCACTACCTGGGTGACAGGATCTGTACCCCAAACCTTAGTATCACGCAATATTCTCATGTAACAAACCTGCACGTGTACCCATAGTATCTAAAATAGAAGTTGAAATTTAAAAATAAATAAATAAATAACAAAACTACAGGATTGAAATTAACAACAAAATACCAATAACACCTATACATTTAGATGGTAAAAAATCCTTATAAATAATTCATGACTTAGGAAAGAAATTACAATAGAAAATGGAGTATTAATTTAAAAATGGGATATAAAAATATATATTCCATATGTATATATATTTTTGTGCAAGATGCATTTCCTGGACATTCCCTGCTATCTTTTATACATTCTTCAAGAAAGGATTGCCTATAGTTGTTCCTTGGAAACTACGGGGGATTGGTTCCAAGACCTTATGTGGATACCAAAATCTGAGGATGCTCAAATTCCTTACATAAAGTGGTGTAGTATTTACATATAAGCTATGCACATTTTTCCATATACTTTAAATCATATCTAGATTACTTATAATACCCAAACACAATGAAAGTGTTATATAAGTACAGTATCACTGTATTATTTTGTATTATAATTATTATATTATTGTATTATATTATAATTATTATAATACTGTATTATTTTGTATTATTCTGAATTTGTATTATTTTTATGGTTTCTTTCCCAATTTTTTCAATCAGTAGTCGATTGAAACCATGGTTGTGAAACCCATGGATACAAAGGGCATACTATACTTCAGAAACCACAGGAAAATTAATAATTGACATAACCACTAAATTGATAATTGCATGAGCTCTCTCATATTCATTTTCTATATTCAATTTAGTAGATATCTGTTTCTTGATAATTAAAACAGAGGTTTTGAAAATACAGATCTGAATATATATATTTACACACACACTCATGCACACCACATTTACATATATACATACATATAGATGTCATTAGGTGGTTATTAATATATTATACAACTCATAAGTTTTTTTTTATTATACTTTAAGTTTTAGGGTACATGTGCACAATGTGCAAGTTAGTTACATATGTATACATGTGACATGCTGGTGCGCTGCACCCACTAACTCGTCATCTAGCATTAGGTATATCTCCCAATGCTATCCCTCCCCCGTCCCCCCACCCCACAACAGTCCCCAGAGTGTGATGTTCCCCTTCCTGTGTCCATGTGTTCTCATTGTTCAGTTCCCACCTATGAGTGAGAATATGCGGTGTTTGGTTTTTTGTTCTTGTGATAGTTTACTGAGAATGATGATTTCCAATTTCATCCATGTCCCTACAAAGGACGTGAACTCATCATTTTTCATGACTGCATAGTATTCCATGATGTATATGTGCCACATTTTCTTAATCCAGTCTACATTATTGGACATTTGGCTTGGTTCCAAGTCTTTGCTATTGTGAATAGTGCCGCAATAAACATACATGTGCATGTGTCTTTATAGCAGCATGATTTATAGTCCTTTGGGTATATACCCAGTAATGGGATGGCTGGGTCAAATGGTATTTCTAGTTCAAGATCCCTGAGGAATCGCCACACTGACTTCCACAATGGTTGAACTAGTTTCCAGTCCCACCAACAGTGTAAAAGTGTTCCTATTTCTCCACATCCTCTCCAGCACCTGTTGTTTTCTGAGTTTTTAATGATCGCCATTCTAACTGGTGTGAGATGATATCTCACTGTGGTTTTGATTTGCATTTCTCTGATGGCCAGTGATGGTGAGCATTTTTTCATGTGTTTTTTGGCTGCATAAATGTCTTCTTTTGAGAAGTGTCTGTTCATTTCCTTCACCCACTTTTTGAAGGGGTTGTTTGTTTTTTTCTTGTAAATTTGTTTGAGTTCATTGTAGATTCTGGATATTAGCCCTTTGTCAGATGAGTAGGTTGTGAAAATTTTCTCCCATTTTGTAGGTTGCCTGTTCACTCTGATGGTAGTTTCTTTTGCTGTGCAGAAGCTCTTTAGTTTAATTAGATCCCATTTGTCAATTTTGTCTTTTGTTGCCATTGCTTTTGGTGTTTTAGACATGAAGTCCTTGCCTATGCCTATGTCCTGAATGGTAATGCCTAGGTTTTCTTCTAGGGTTTTTATGGTTTTAGGTCTAACATTTAGGTCTTTAATCCATCTTGAATTGATTTTTGTATAAGGTGTGAAGGGATCCAGTTTCAGCTTTCTCCATATGGCTAACCAGTTTTCCCAGCACCATTTATTAAATAGGGAATCCTTTCCCCATTGCTTGTTTTTCTCAGGTTTGTCAAAAATCAGGTAGTTGAAGATATACGGCGTTATTTCTGAGGGCTCTGTTCTGTTCCATTGATCTGTATCTCTGTTTTGGTACCAGTACCATGCTGTTTTGGTTACTGTAGCCTTGTAGTAGAGTTTGAAGTCAGGTAGCGTGATGCCTCCAGCTTTGTTCTTTTGGCTTAGGATTGACTTGGCAATGCAGGCTCTTTTTTGGTTCCATATGAACTTTAAAGTAGTTTTTTCCAATTCTGTGAAGAAAGTCATTGGTAGCTTGATGGGGATGGCATTGAATCTATAAATTACCTTGGCCAGTATGGTTGTTTTCACGATATTGATTCTTCCTACCCATGAGCATGGAATGTTCTTCCATTTCTTTGTATCCTCTTTTATTTCATTGAGCAGTGGTTTCTAGTTCTCCTTGAAGAGGTCCTTCATGTCCCTTGTAAGTTGGATTCCTAGGTATTTTATTCTCTTTGAAGCAATTGTGAATGGGAGTTCACTCAGGATTTGGCTCTCTGTTTGTCTGTTATTGGTGTATAAGAATGCTTGTGATTTTTGTACATTGATTTTGTATCCTGAGACTTTGCTGAAGTTGCTTATCAGCTTAAGGAGATTTTGGGCTGAGACAATGGGGTTTTCTAGATATACAATCATGTCGTCTGCAAACAGGGACAATTTGACTTCCTCTTTTCCTACTTGAATACCCTGTATTTCCTTCTCCTGCCTAATTGCCCTGGCCAGAACTTACAACACTATGTTGAATAGGAGTGGTGAGAGAGGGCATCCCTGTCTTGTGCCAGTTTTCAAAGGGAATGCTTCCAGTTTTTGCCCATTCAGTATGATATTGGCTGTGGGTTTGTCATAGATAGCTCTTATTATTTTGAGATACGTCCCATCAATACTTAATTTATGGAGAGTTTTTAGCGTGAAGGGTTGTTGAATTTTGTCAAAGGCCTTTTCTGCATCCATTGAGATAATCATGTGGTTTTTGTCTTTGGTTCTGTTTATATGCTGGATTACATTTATTGATTTGCATATATTGAACCAGCCTTGCATCCCAGGGATGAAGCCCACTTGATCATGGTGGATAAGCTTTTTGATGTGCTGCTGGATTTGGTTTGCCAGTATTTTATTGAGGATTTTTGCATCAATGTTCATCAAGGATATTGGTCTAAAATTCTCTTTTTTGGTTGTGTCTCTGCCCGGCTTTGGTATCAGGATGATGCTGGCCTCATAAAATGAGTTAGGGAGGATTCCCTCTTTTTCTATTGATTGGAATAGTTTCAGAAGGAATGGTACCAGTTCCTCCTTGTACCTCTGTTAGAATTCGGCTATGAATCCATCTGGTCCTGGACTCTTTTTGGTTGGTAAGCTGTTGATTATTGCCACAATTTCAGCTCCTGTTATTGGTCTATTCAGAGATTCAACTTCTTCCTGGTTTAGTCTTGGGAGAGTGTATGTGTCGAGGAATTTATCCATTTCTTCTAGATTTTCTAGTTTATTTGCATAGAGGTGTTTGTAGTAATCTCTGATGGTAGTTTGTATTTCTGTGGGATCAGTGGTGATATCCCCTTTATCATTTTTCATTGCGTCTATTTGATTCTTCTCTCTTTTTTTCTTTATTAGTCTTGCTAGCGGTCTATCAATTTTGTTGATCCTTTCAAAAAACCAGCTCCTGGATTCATTAATTTTTTGAAGGGTTTTTTGGGTCTCTATTTCCTTCAGTTCTGCTCTGATTTTAATTATTTCTTGCCCTCTGCTAGCTTTTGAATGTGTTTGCTCTTGCTTTTCTAGTTCTTTTAATTGTGATGTTAGGGTGTCAATTTTGGATCTTTCCTGCTTTCTCTTGTGGGCATTTAATGCTATAAATTTCCCTCTACACACTGCTTTGAATGTGTCCCAGAGATTCTGGTATGTTGTGCCTTTGCTCTTGTTGGTTTCAAAGAATATCTTTATTTCTGCCTTCATTTCGTTATGTACCCAGTAGTCATTCAGGAGCAGGTTGTTCAGTTTCCACGTAGTTGAGCGGTTTTGAGTGAGTTTCTTAATCCTGAGTTCTAGTTTGATTGCACTGTAGTCTGAGAGATAGTTTGTTATAATTTCTGCTCTTTTACATTTGCTGAGGAGAGCTTTACTTTCAAGTATGTGGTCAATTTTGGAATAGGTGTGGTGTGGTGCTGAAAAAAATGTATATTCTGTTGATTTTGGGTGGAGAGTTCTGTAGATGTCTATTAGGTCCACTTGGTGCAGAGCTGAGTTCAATTCCTGGGTATGCTTGTTAACTTTCTGTCTCATTGATCTGTCTAATATTGACAGTGGGGTGTTAAGTCTCCCATTATTAATGTGTCTAACTCTCTTTGTAGGTCACTCAGGACTTGCTTTATGAATCTGGGTGCTCCCATATTGGGTACATATATATTTAGGATAGTTAGCTCTTCTTGTTGAATTGATCCCTTTACCATTATGTAATGGCCTTCTTTGTCTCTTTTGATCTTTGTTGGTTTAAAGTCTGTTTTATCAGAGACTAGGATTGCAACCCCTGCCTTTTTTTGTTTTCCATTTGCTTGGTAGATCTTCCTCCATCCCTTTATTTTGAGCCTATGTGTGTCTCTGCACGTGAGATGGGTTTCCTGAATACAGCACACTGATGGGTCTTGACTCTTTATCCAATTCGCCAGTCGTGTCTTTTAACTGGAGCATTTAGTCCATTTACATTTAAAGTTAATATTGTTATGTGTGAATTTGATCCTGTCATTATGATGTTAGCTGGTTATTTTGCTCGTCAGTTGATGCAGTTTCTTCCTAGCCTCGATGGTCTTTACAATTTAGCATGATTTTGCAGTGGCTGGTACCAGTTGTTCCTTTCCATGTTTAGTGCTTCCTTCAGGAGCTCTTTTAGGGCAGGCCTGGTGGTGACAAAATCTCTCAGCATTTGCTTGTCTGTAAAATATTTTATTTCTCCTTCACTTATGAAGCTTAGTTTGGCTGGATATAAAATTCTGGGTTGAAAATTCTTTTCTTTAAGAATGTTGAATATCGGCCCCCACTCTCTCCTGGCTTGTAGAGTTTCTGCTGAGAGATCCGCTGTTAGTCTGATGGGCTTCCCTTTGTGGGTAACCCAGCCTTTCTCTCTGGCTGCCCTTAACATTTTTTCCTTCATTTCAACTTTGGTGAATCTGACAATTATGTGTCTTGGAGTTGCTCTTCTCGAGGAGTATCTTTGTGGCATTCTCTGTATTTCCTGAATCTGAATGTTGGCCTGCCTTGCTAGACTGGGGAAGTTCTCCTGGATAATATCCTGCAGAGTGTTTTCCAACTTGGTTCCATTCTCCCCGTCACTTTCAGGTACACCAATCAGACATAGATTTGGTCTTTTCACATAGTCCCATATTTCTTGGAGGCTTTGTTCGTTTCTTTTTATTCTTTTTTCTCTAAACTTGCCTTCTCGCTTCATTTCGTTCATTTCGTCTCCCATCGCTGATACCCTTTCTTCCAGTTGATCGCATCGGCTCCTGAGGCTTCTGCATTCTTCACGTAGTTTTCGAGTCTTGGCTTTCAGCTCCATCAGCTCCTTTAAGCACTTCTCTGTATTGGTTATTCTAGTTATACATTCGTCTAAATTTTTTTCAAAGTTTTTAACTTCTTTGCCTTTGGTTTGAATTTCCTCCTGTAGCTCGTAGTTTGATCATCTGAAGCCTTCTTCTCTCAACTCGTCAAAGTCATTCTCTGTCCAGCTTTGTTCCATTGCTGGTGAGGAACTGCATTCCTTTGGAGGAGGAGAGGTGCTCTACTGTTTAGAGTTTCCAGTTTTTCTGCTCTGTTTTTTCCCCATCTTTGTGGTTTTATCTACTTTTGGTCTTTGATGATGGTGATGTACAGATGGGTTTTTGGTGTGGATGTCATTTCTGTTTGTTAGTTTTCCTTCTAACAGACAGGACCCTCAGCTGCAGGTGTGTTGGAGTTTGCTAGAGGTCCACTCCAGACCGTTTGCCTGGGTATCAGCAGCGGTGTTTGCAGAACAGCGGTTTTTCGTGAACCAGGAATGCTGCTGTCTGATCGTTCCTCTGGAAGTTTTGTCTCAGAGGAGTACCCGGCCGTGTGAGGTGTCAGTCTGCCCCTATTGTGGGGTGCCTCCCAGTTAGGCTGCTCAGGGGTCAGTGGTCAGGGACCCACTTGAGGAGGCAGTCTGCCCATTGTCAAATCTCCAGCTGCATGCTGGGAGAACCACTGCTCTCTTCAAAGCTGTCAGACAGGGACATTTAAGTCTGCAGAGGTTACTGCTGTCTTTTTGTTTGTCTGTGCTCTGCCCCCAGAGGTGGAGCCTACAGAGGCAGGCAGGCCTCCTTGAGCTGTGGTGGGCTCCACCCAGTTCGAGCTTCCCAGCTGCTTTGTTTACCTATGCAAGCCTGGGCAATGGCGGGCGCCCCTCCCCCAGCCTTGCTGCCGCCTTGCAGTTTGATCTGAGACTGCTGTGCTAGCAATCAGTGAGACTCCTTGGGCGTAGGACCCTCTGAGCCAGGTGCCGGGATTTAATCTCCTGGTGCGCCGTTTTTTAAGCCTGTCGGAAAAGCGCAGTATTAGGGTGGGAGCGTCCGGAATTTCCAGGTGCTGTCTGTCACCCCTTTCTTTGACTGGGAAAGGGAACTCCCTGACCCCTTGCGCTTCCCAGGTGAGGCAATGCCTCGCCCTGCTTCGGCTCAGGCATGGTGCGCTGCACCCACTGACCTGCCCCCACTGTCTGGCACTCCCTAGTGAGATGAACCCGGTACCTCAGATGGAAATGCAGAAATCACCCCTCTTCTGCATCACTCACGCTGGGAGCTGTAAACTGGAGCTGTTCCTATTCAGCCGTCTTGGATCCTCCCCCCCCAAGTTTTTAGTAAATTATTAGAGTTTGAAATCATCATTGTGATCCCATTTTTTAAAACATTTTTATTATTCTGGATTCCTCATTACCATTTGCAGTCAATCACTATTTCCATTTCCAGGCAACCACTGATTTACATTCTGTCTCTATGGATTTGTCTTTTCTGAACATTTAATACACATGGATTCTTACAATATGTGGTATTTTGCTTACTACTTAGCTTCATTTGTTTAGATCAGTGTTTTTGAGATTCATTAATGTAGCATGTAATAACAAGTGTTGGCAAGGATGTAGAGAAACAGGTACCTTCATGCATTCCTGGTGGGAATGTAAAATGGTGAAGCCACTTTGCATAAACATATTCTGACATTTCTTAAACTTTAAATACATAAAATTCCCATATGAACCAGCAATTTTACTCCTGTGTATCTACTGAAAAGAGATGAAAACATATGTCCACACAAAAGACTTTTACTTGAATATTCACAACAGCATTATTCATAATAGCCAAAGAGTGGAAACAATCTAGATGTCCCTCAACTGGTGAATGGATAAACAAAATGTGGTATGTCATAAAATTTGTAAAATGATTATACTACTCAGTAATAAAAGCGATATGTATTTCAAAGCTGCTACTGCTATCAGATTCTTAAACTTGATAGACTGATGCATTTTTTTATTTCATTGATGCTTATTCTGTAATGACAAGCATTCATATCTATAAATAACACACTTTTTAATTTTACAGCTCCATAAGTCTATTTAAAGGTTTTTTTAATTAAAAATGGGAAGCTATAAGTTTAAATTTATCATGTATTTTTGCAGTAAGAAAGAATGTACTGGAGAAGCATTTAGGCATCTATGTGAAAGTAAAATCCAAACCTTGAGACTTCTCTCATTTGAGAGATATCATAATAGAAATTATAGTTGGTAGAAAAGTTTACTGCTCTTTGTTTTGTACATAATGATTCCAATTAGCTGCTTTTTTAAGAGGGAAGTTTCTTATACCTAGCTACACATCACAATCTTCTGAGGTATTTGCATAAAGTATAATTTCCTGGCCTTTCATCCCTAGAGATTCTGATGAGTGAGTTGGGCATGGATTTCAGCAAACTGTGATGTTAATAATCACCACAGATGAATCTAATTTAGCCAGCCTGTGGCATGTGAGAGTCACTGTTCTAAATGAAAAAAAACGTCAGATATTTGCTTCCAGTGAGGACTAACATCATGCAGAATTCTAACCACAAGACTCAGTAAAATGCTGTTTAAAATATTTTAGATAGAGTATGAAGTAAAGCTGATTACCTCCACAGACTTGCTAATTATTTTTAAGCATTATATACAGCATATACTGGTAGAAGAAAAAGAACTGCATAGCAATTCAGGTTTATGAATTTTCTGCACAATAAGAGCTAATTATAGTCTTCCTGTTTCTGAAAGAAGCACATTTACAGACAAAGCTTCATTTTGAAAAAATGTTCTTTAATCAATGCAATCAGTCAAGTCAACAGATATTAATTGAATACCTTCTTTACACAAGATGTGGTGGAAAATGATCAGAATAATATATTTTTCTCAATTTTTAGAAAGTTTATAATCTCTTTGTATCTCTATGGCATATAGCCAAATAAATGTAGTAACTAATGCAATTTAAGTTCAGCTATGATTTTAAATAATGAACATTTAGTACTTAGTATAACTTAGTGATCAATGGTACCTCAACACTACATGTGTTATAAGTTTAATTTTAAAAAATAGGAGTTGGAAAAAATTTTATTGTCATTATATAGACAAAGAAAACAAAGATCCACAGATAGTAAATGATGGAGGAAGGTGGGGCAATGGTTTCTCTAGCTTCAATGCTTGAAACAGCTCTTCTATATAAAGAGATATTTCAAACTTCAAACAAAATATACATTAGACTGAGTTAATCTTCCTTTGAAGAGGCAGGAAATAATCGGGAAAAAAGAAAGGCTTCCTAGAGCCAGAGCAGATGTACTTGAAATTTGCACAATTGGAAATCGTAGAGGACATTCAAGCAAAAGAGAATGATTTGAGTAAAGACACCAAGATAAGAATGCGTTGGAGGTGTTTGAGTAACATAGATGTGTTCGTTGACAAGAGTGCTTAGAACAGGTTTAGGAGAGAAGGAAATCAAGTGTCTGCAAGGGCTTATTTAAATCTTGAATGCTGGAATAAGGAATTTGAAATTCATCTGTGAATTTGGAAGCCATTTTTATTTTAACTTGGAGAACAATATGATAGACTTAACAAGTAATTACTGAACTACTATTACATATGAGGCTCCATGATAGGTACTGGGAGCATGATGATGCAAAGACAGACCGACAGTCATTTTTCTCATGGAGTTGGTATTTTACCTGTGGTAGGATTCCAACTGTGTTTGGATTCCATTGAAGAGCTTTATTAAGAGGCCAGAATAGTTTTAATTCTCACGTGAATAAGATTTTTTTGCTTCTCTGTGGACATTGCCACTATTCTATGAAGTTGTTGGGTTAGGAAACAAAAGAATGAGTCACAAGCAAAATGATTATGAATTATAATTATCATGAAGGAAACAAATAGGGTGAAGAGATGTGGTATCCATAGACAGCATCTAGGGAGATGGAAAGCTGTGCAAGGCCATAATGAAGGAAAGCCATTTAAAAGTTGACAATACCGTATAACTGGAGCTTAATGAAGGAGAGGAGAAGTGATTCAAAAATGAATGTAAAAGAATCAGCAAGGGCCAGTTCATGTCAGGCTTATGGCCACAGTAGGATTCCAAGTGTGTTTGTTTGTATACCATTGAAGAGTTTTAAGCAAGGGGTAGACAAGATTTCAGTTCTCATGTCAATAAGATCCTTTGCTTCTCTGTAGAGAATGGCTCAAATTGTGGCAAGAGTAGAAGAAATGAATTACGTCCATTTCAGGCTCAGCATGATAGTGACCTAGTTCAGGTTGGTGATAATGCAGGGCTGGAAACACATTTTACAAAACAACTGTACCTATCAGAAACAGGAAAAATGCTCCTTATCAATCAACCAAAGTTTCCATTTAAATGTCTGCTCTTATGGATATGTGACCTAACACACGTGTACTAAAGAACAGGTAAAAAAATTTTATTCACTTACGTAATTTCATATACCAGACTGGTAAGTATGTTAAGGGCTCTGTAATTTGCTTGAGTACAAGTTATGTTTCTCTACTTACCAGTCTTAGGTAAATTACCTGGACTATGTTGATTTTAGTGTCTTCTAAATAGGGTAATAATATAATCTATATGACAGGTCTTTTATGAGGATTGAATCAAATAACATATATATTTTAGAAAGTGATAGCAGTAAGAGGTTAGTAAATGTTAACCAAGGCCCAATGCTATATGTTGATAACTGGAAAATAAAATAAAACATAAACAAATGTTATTTATTTTATGAGTAAAATAATAATATATGCTTTCTTTCTGACATTATCAGGGTACTTAATAAATAATTTTTGTTTACCAAAGTATATGTCATGGATATATGGATAAGAACCCCAGCTGGCTTTCTTATCCCATGCTGGAGAATTTCCAGGCTGATTGTCTGTATCTTATATGAAAACGGACAGGAAAATAATATTCAAACCAAAATCTTTTATATTTTTCTAAGATATAATCTCCACTGTTAAGATTTGAGAGTTCATTTAATTATATTTTTCTTGCCCTGATAAAATACTAGTTTTACTTCTGGAAAAGCTGGAAAAAGGAGCACATTCTACCTGTAAGTAAAATAGTGGTATAGATGGGGAAATGTCTTTGCCCTAGATTTACAGTGACTTTTCCTATTCTCATTATAGATTGGACTCTCCTCTTTCCATAGGATGGAACCATCACTAAATAGAAAGGGCAGGACTTCTCTTTTATTTTATGAGTTGGCTTTCCTACTCATAATAAAAACGAGTGCAAAATGAATGGAAACCTTGTTACATGGCACTCCAGGAAGGGACTAGGAACTGAGCTGTATCAAATGGAGTTATTATTGAGACAAGTCAGAAGTAACAAAGTGCAGAAATCAGTATTGGGAGAATAGTAACTGGCATCCACAGCTCCTGTAATATAGGAAAAGGCCAGACCTGAAGATTCTCCATGGGTTCAGGAAAAGAAACTGTTCAACATAGGTCTAGGGCTTAGACTTCAACATGGGAAGGTAGGGAGGAAGGAAGGAAATCTGAGTGTACACTTCTTGTGCTTGTTAAGTGTCTTAGGGGTAAATTGGATGGTTGAAAATTGTAGGGCTTGGTTTAAATTTACTTGCTCCTTTTCCTTGTTAACACTGCTATATATTCTTTTTACTCTCGGAGTTTATCTCCTTCAAAACTAGTGAGAGTTGGCCATATTCTCCTTCACTCTGACTTTCTTTGAGATCCCTCATCCAAAAAAGATAGAAGAAAGTCCAATTCAAAAGTCCATTCCTTCATTTTTTCATTAAAAAATTTTTTTTGATCTCCTGATATATGACTGGCACTATTCTAGATTCTAGTGATATGACACTGTGCAATAAACAGAAGTCTTTACCCCAATCAAAATGGTATTTGAGGAAGGGAAACGGAATTAACCAGATAAATATTTTAAATATATGACATGGCAGATAAGAGCTAAAAAAATAACCAAGAGCCGAGGGGTACCCAAAGTTTGTATGCAATTAGTAGTGGTTTGCAATTTAGATAGTGGCCTGGGAAGATGTCATCAAGAAGAAGATATTTGAGTGAAAACTTCAAAGAGGGGAGAAGGAGAAACAATCTAGGCAGAGGGAACAGTGGATGCAAAGACCCTTCAGAGGAAGTGTGGCTGGTGTGTCCAACAAGTGTGGCTGGGTATTTTAGTTCATTCTGGCTGCTATAACAAAATACCATAGACTGGATGGCTTGGAAACAACATACACTAACTTCTCACAGTTCTGGAGGCTGAGAAGTCGAAGGACAAGATGCAAGCAGATTCATTGTCTGGTGAGGGCTAGCTTCCTGGTTTATAGATGGTGCCCTCTCACTCTGTTCTGACGTGGTGCAAGGGGCAAATGAGCTCTCTGGGGCCTCTTTCATAAAGGCACTATCTCGTTCAGGAGGGTTCTGCCCTCATAATCTCCCAAAAGGCCCTACCTTCTAATGCCACCACCTCAAGGGTTAGTATTTCAACAAACAAATTTTGGTGACCATAAACATTCAGTCTGTTACACTGGGGCAGGGTAAAGGAAGAGGTATTAGGAGAAATGTCAGAGTGATGAGTGACAAGGAGGAGGACACATTCTATAAAACTTTGTAGACTGCTGTAAAAAATTTGGCTTTCACTTAAAAACCCTTTGAAAGGATTATTCCTGATTCCCACGGGGAAACAAATGAACAAAACAAAACAGTGAGAACAGCAAATTATTCAGAATCATTCCTAAATCATCTGCTATATGCCTACCTCCTGACTCCTAAAGTGTCTCCTCTTGTCCTCTCTTTTTCTACTCACTGTATAAACAGAACAATCAATAAATGGGAGTTCATGTCCATTTAGGCATTCATGACTCAAATGCAAAATTTACATTGCTGAAGCCCCTTGAATTAAGTGATTCCAATGTGTGTTCCTTTGAAAAGGCTTTCCCTTATGGCGTCTATTTTATTCTGTGGGTTGGAAGCTGAAGCTTGAATTTCTTTGTTGATTCCAAGTCAGTTTGTTACCTCCTTCTACTGCCAGATCTCTAGCTGTGTTAGATAGTTAATAGATTCAGTTGATATTTTCTTCAAGGTAGTGTAGTCTGATTAGTATACTTCAAGTTGTGATTACGTATTGATCTTCTGTCTGACATTTTTTAATAGTCGTAAGCTCTTTGCCAAGGCATAATCTTTTCACAAGACCTTCATGCTAATTAAGAGTAGCCCAGGTTTAAATGCCATACCCTATGAACGCTACCTAGCATGAGGATCAAATGCAACAAAGCAGCTGCTTACAACAGCAGCATTTCCAGCAATTTATGAGAGCCTTAATTTATGGAATTTTATTTTAAAAATTGCATTGTATGTGGAGACTGTAAAGTCTGTTTCCAATATCCCAGTGGAAACATACAGTCACTGAGGTTTGAAATATCGTAATCTCAAAGAGTCATAAAATGCCAATAGCACAGGGACAGCATGAAACAACACAGAGGAGAGTTTCTGATACAATGAAAGTCATAGTAATGACTTCAACAGCAAGTTTGAAAAAGAACAGCAATTTTATGTTCTAGTTTCTAGAACACCTAACTTGATGAGAAATCTGAGGTAATGCAGTCACAATTAAAATATAGTTAATATTTTCCAGAAGAAAGTATACATTTCAAAGAGTTTAATTTTGTGATGTAGATTATAACTTGGGAAAACTAAACCATGTTTTATATTGAAATCAGTAAATAGGCATTTTGTATTAATGCACTACTTTTGAGAGAAGGTAGGGTATAGTAAAAGAACTGACCTTCTTCCATTAATTTATTTTTAATCATAACTACATGAGGATGATATTTAACTGGAAGAAAATGAAATTCTGCAGCTTGAAGGTAAAATCACATAGGATAGCATTGCATGGGTCCAGAACTTTCCAATTTATAAATTCTTTCTAAGATTGTGCCTCCCTCTTTAAAAATAGGAAAATACAAGAAAATACATGAAAACTTTGTTGAGAGGATTAATTAAGCTAATGTATTTATGGCATCTAGAAAAGTAAATATGTTAAAGTCTCTATAGATATTAATATTTATTACAGTTATAGTGTTCATTTTATAGTTAATTATTGACTTTCTAATATTTATTGGCACAGAGGAAGGTTATCTAAAAACCATCATTTGTAGGTAATATTTTATCATGCCTAATTGAGAGGTTTCCATGCCTGGATCAAAATTAGAAACATTTAGGGAGACTTAAACACACTGATGCCTGGTCACATTCCAGATCACATGAAATGTAATCCTAAGGGTCTGCATTTTTAAAGAGATCCCTAGTTAATTCTAAGGTAGTGAGGCTTGAAAATCATTAGTCCTACATTGTTCTTACTTTTGACTCAGCCCATTTTCCCCCCAGTTCTGTCAGTAGTGAATGTAGCGAATAGCTAATCAACTTTTGTCAAATACATTTACACATGCATAAAGTCCACTAGAGTGGATTTTAATAGTCTCTCAATTGCCCATGTATTATTAATTCAGTTCATTGTAAAATCCGAGAACTGCAAGAAAATGATGAGATAATTTTGCAAATGTTTTCATTTGACAAATGAGGACAGCGAGGCTGAGAGAAATGAGATGCCTTGACTATGGCCTCTGGTGAGGTGGTGACATTCTTGTAAACTCGAGAATTCATGTTCCCGTCTTCACTGTCCAGTGTTCTTTGCACTGTGCTGCATAAGTTGAATTTGTTTATCATTTTCTAAGTCTTCTTTACTCTAGTCCTTTTCAAAATTCAGCATCTGTGCCAAGCTTTAGATGAATAGTACGCCTGGAGAATTACCATGCAGTTTCTCTAATCCATGTGGTATATTTCCTTTCTTATCATTCTTGCTGATTCAGACTACAATCTGGAGTGATCACCAAATTTTTCTTTGCTAGGTTAGCATTTTTACCATTCAGTCCTCATTGTGGGTGTAGTATATAGTTTCTCCTTTCCACTTTAAACAATATTGTATTTCACATTTTACCTTACTATTTTTACACATTTCTTTATACTTGTGACCTCAAACTAAATGTTATTTGACAAATAATCACTAATTTTTATATGTCTTATTATAAAAAATAAAAGTCAATTTGTATTTTCTGATGTCCAATTTTTTGCATTCAAATCACCTGAAATGTATGAAGTTTTCACTTCTTATTCAAATCACTGGTGTCTTTATAAATGGATTTTAATAAAAATCTTTACCCATCACGGACTCTGACATACACAAGAGATTTAACTTCTTTTATAATTTAAATTCCCTGCATTTCTTTATTCAAATTAGTTTTATATTGTTTCTCCATATTTTTATAATTTTGGTAATGCTATATAAGCTCCGTCTAGTGATCAAAATAGTACCTAAAAATCCTATGTTTATTAAATCAAAGATACCAGAAGCTACCTTATCCTGGCAGACCTAGTTCTACATCTATTTCAATGAAATTAATTAAAATACTCATAACTTTTTTATTGAAATAGTTTCAAAACTTATATTTAAGCCAAAAGAGCCTAGCATGTTAATATAATAAAATTGAATTTGGGGGCCAACATATATCTGTGGTGAAATAAAATACTGTTAAATAAATGACAATATTTTAAAATGTTATTTAATTTTTTTTTTTTTTTTTTTTTTTTTTTTGCTATTTCTGCTTTTCAGAACACATTGTTTGACCCTGTTACTCAGAAAAGTGAATGTCAGGCTGAATAGCAAACTCAACTACAAATCTCCAGTTTAGGCTGTGTCCTAAAGTTTGATATACAAATCTCTTCAGCATGCATTAAGAAGTGACATTATCAATATTGAGAGAAAATAGGTTTTGTTAATTAAAGGAGCAAGCACAAGTAAATATATGAGTGTGTTAAAGAAATAGCATTAGCATAAAAATCATTTTGACTCTGAAAGAGGAAAAATTGTATGGATTTTATGTCTTTAACTTTTTATTATATGATAAAGTATAGAATATACTCTGAAAAATATATTCCATATACTTTTAAATCCCATCTTTAGCTTCTGTTTTCAACTTTTTCTAATTATAAGAATCCTTTGTGTATTCTGAAAACAACCTCTTTCTAGGATATTGGTATTGCACATATTTATTTCATCCTATGGATTGTCTTTTCATTCTTTTAATGATATCTTTTGATGAACAGAAGTTGTTTGTCTTAATATAGTCAAATATATCCAGGATTAGCACTTTTTGTGTCCTGTCTTATAAACGAGCCTTTGCCTCCTTGTAGGTTATGAAGATATGTGCTTAAGTTTTCTTCTAAAAGTTTTATTGCTTTACCTCTAATATTTACATATCCTATCCATCTGGACTTAATTTCCACAATGTTGTGAAGTGGGAGTCAGGGTTCAGTTTCTGTGTATAGTTACCCAATTGACAGCAAATATTTACTGGAAAAACCTTCCATTCTTCACTGCAATGCATTATAATAATCTTCATAGATCCAGATAATATACATGAATGGATTGCTTCTGAGCTTTCTATTCTGTTTCATGTCCCTCTTTGCCTCCTCTTGCACTGATGCCACAATGGCTTAATTAGTTTTGTGATTTATAATGGGCCTTGATATTTGGTGGTTTAAGTCTTTCAGCTTTGTTTTCTTCTTCAAGATTAACTTGTCTCTTCTTGGACCTTTGTATTTTCATATAAATTATAGTATAAGTTCACCATTTATCACAAAAATATCTGCTAGAATTTTTTTAATGCAATTGTGTTGATTCAGGAGATTATTTTGGGTATAATTTACATACTTAGTGTTAAGTCTTCCAATCCACAAATATGCCATCTCTCTCCAATTATTTATTTAGCTGCCAGCCCCATCAGGTAGGAAGATTTCTGTACTACAGACAGGTGTCTTGCTCAAGGGCATGGTACCCTTTGCAAGGTAGGTACACATCTAATATATGATGAATGAAAGATTACAAAGGCCTAGCCATATCAGTCAACTCTGGGATCATATCAGTTCCCCATGGGATCAGCCAAGGCTGTCACTGCACCTACATTGAAGCTCAGCTTCCTCTTCTATGTAATTTTGTTTCCTTCCCTCTTCCCCTTTCTTTTGTATGTTGTTGTGAGACATTATGTTGTATAGAGTTTTGGCAGATATTTTGTGATAGTAAAGAAGAAACAGAGAGGAAGAGAAGGGGCAGGGGAGGGAGACACAGAGAGACAGAGAGGGAGGGAGACTGCATAGAAGCCTGCACAAAGTCCTAAGACACTGAGCCATGGCATTGTCCAAAGCTGAGGACATCTATCTCCAGAAGGGTTGGTAGGTAATATTTACTAATGAATCCCTACCATTTAAGCCACTTTAGCCATTCTTTTACTTGCAATGAAAAAATGTCTAACATAAATGACTTCTGGAATGAGTTTAATTTTCAACTTACATGTTTGGATAGCAAGAGAGAAACTTTCATAATTCTTACTGAAATCTAGACTCACGCTGTATATCATATTTTCTGTTCCTCCAATTGAGTTTGATTTTAAATTAAATTGGAACAGTGTGGCTTATTTTTTAAATTGAATTAGTGATTATGATTTCATATCTAAGATTGTTCAGCTCTTATTTTTGTATAATTTTAATAAATCAACAAAGGTTTTCTGAGCAAATATTACCGCATTTATTGTTTTCTTTTCTATAAAAAAAGTGCTTGGGATCAAAATTTGGATGTAAATTTAACGGAGCATACTCCTCCCTTTTAACTACAGCAGGCAGCAAAACATTTGCCCAGGTTTGAGGAAGCATGAGCATAACAATTCAATTTTTGCTTGTTTCATTTTATTACTCTGCTATCAGTGCAAAAAATATCCATGAAGTCAAGATTGCAATTGAGAGGAAACTCCCTTCTGCTTTCTTGGTATTTTATGGAAGCAAACCTTTAAATCAGTGGCTTCCACAGAGTAGGGTATCTTTCAGGTTAAAATATTACAGCACTTGGTCATCATATATTTTTACAATTTTAGATTTGTTAATAGGGAGGGGAATGGAAAGGAGGTAAGACCTCAGTATTCAGGGATCTACTGTTTCACTGCATACAAATTTCTTTTCTGCATCTTACAGGAATACCTCTGCATTTTATTTTTTATTGTGTCATCACTGGGCCACTCAATGTTTACTAACATTAATGTCTTAGAATCTGCCCAACAAGGTTAGTATTTCTTTCTGTTAGAGATGAGGGGGATAAGGAGAATAAAAAGTTACATCTGTCTCCTAAATATGAGTTGGTCTCAAATGTAAATAATTTTGCAAGCATTAGATCCTTCTGATCTTTCCTTTGCTATTACTGTTTGCATGTAAGCTATTCTTTTAAATTTCAGAGGACATTAAAGGGCCAGGGCTGAAAAAGCTGTCTGGTGTTGTTTGTTTTTAGTATGCTTAGTTTTCTTCTACTATGGAATTTATTTTATTTATTTATTTTTTTTTTACTATGGAATTTAAATAATATGGCCTATTATTTTTCTACATTTACTTCATTCACATTTTCTTTATTTTAGTGCAAGCACCTTAAGGTGATGAAATTACAAGCAATTCAAGAATGTATCATATTTATTTTAATTAAATGATATTTCAAGAAGATAGCTAGGTATAATTGGAAGCCTTCCATTACATTCTTTTTATAAATGTATGTGCCAGTTGTATAACTTATATTAGTAAGTGCCATGCATTTCCTTCATTATCTTTCAGAAGACATGTTAGAACATGTAAGGAGAGAGAAGTTTCCAAGGAGAGTATGTCAGACAAATTAACATGCAACCAAGTGAGAAATACAGGCTGATGGAATAGGCTTTTTATGAAAGTGCTTCAGAATCTAAAATTTTGAAGAGGCTGGGTGCGGTGGTTCACACTTGTAATCCCAGCACTTTGGGAGGTCACGGTGGAAGGATCACTTGAGACCAGAAGTTTGAGACCAGTCTGGGTAACATGGTGTAACCCTGTCTTTACAAAAAATACAGAAAATTAGCCTAGCATGGTGGCATGCACCTGCGGTCCCAGCTACTCAAGAAGCTGAGGTGAGAGGATCGCTTGAGCCAGATAGCGGAGGTTGCAGTGAGCCAAGATTGTGCCACTGCACTGTAGCCTGGGTGACAGAGAAAGACCCTGTCTCAAAAAAAATTTTTTTTGAAGACAAAAATAGGAGTTTTGTAACATATTTGAGGACTTATTCATTTGATTCTTTTTCAAAATAACATTTATTAGGCACATATTATATGCTAGGCAATGTACTGGTTTTAATAATTTAAATATTAATATTAAAATCAAATAGCTACTTTAAAAAATGCTTACACTGTTACTAGCAGTATGTTATATACTATGGGGCATAGTACAGCAATGGGAGGAGAGAGAATTATAGGATATACTTCCAGAGCAAAGAAGCAACCAAAAATTCCGAAATTAGAACATAGTGGGAAAAAATCATTATCACTTTAGTATAGAATTCACCTATATTTTAATATAGATAATGGCACACTGATAGGTTTTGACTGTTATGTAATGAGATTAATATATAAACCCAAACATGAATATCAGCATTGGGCTCTATAAAGCAGGAATTTTTTTTAGAATGATCAGAATATTATGTTACTTTTGGCCTATTTATAGAAGCTGAAGCTCTTTGAAATCCTGCTATTCTCAATAATGTCAAATTTGTTTAGAAGATAGACCATTAGTTTTGAACTAACACTGAATATAATCTAGTGAATAAGTAATTAATATATTTGAGTAAAGTCACAGTTATTTGATATCAAGATGTGACTACATTGTGGTTGGCTGCACCAGGCTTGCACATGTGCTAGGAGGCCTGTGTGATGAATCAGAGCATTGAGGGACATAGAAATCAGAGGCAGGGTAATCCAGCAAGATAATATAATGCCCTGGGATACTTCCGTTTGTAAGGCAAAGTTGGAGTAAGGTGTAATCATAAGGCAGAACACTTTAGGATACATAACGTATTTGCTGGGCTAAAGAAATCTGGGTAGGGCTTAGTTTTTGTTTGTCTGTTTGTTTTTGAGACAGAGTCTCGCTCTGTCACCCAGGCTGGAGTGCAAAGGCACGATCTCAGCTTACTGCAACCTCCACCTCTGGGGTTCAAGTGGTTCTCCTGCCTCAGCCTCCTGAGTAGTTGGGATTACAGGCACCCACAACCACCCCCAGCTAATTTTTGTGTTTTTAGTAGAGACGGGGGTTTCACCATGTTGCTCAGGCTGGTCATGAACTCCTGACCTCAGGTGATCCACCTGCCTCACCCTCCCAAAGTGCTGAGATTACAGGCGAGAGCCACCGCGCCCGGCCCAGGACTCAGTTTTTTTAATAGGGGAAAGAGTCTTATATAATATGCATTCTAGGAGCTAGAAGTTGCACTGGAGAACATATATTTTGGCTTTTAACATGTAGAAGATGCTTCATAAAGTCTAAAATCTATAAAGACATTAATTTTTGTATGGCTTGAAAATCTAGCACCAAAGACAATTCAAAACAAAACCACATTTGTGTGCTTCTGCATCCAGTAGAAATATCTTGACACAAATATTTTCCGCTCCTTGGTAACTTTGAGGAAGAATATTTATTCAACTGCAGAAATTGTAAAATATCTCATCCATCCAGTGAAAATTCTTTTTCCTCTCTAGTTACTATTGTAATTTTCATCTATTCTGCTCCTTCTGGGTAATAGTAGTTACAAAGGAAAACTTGGCAAATAATACTTTTTGAGATTTTAATTTCCTTTTGGAACTTAATTCAAGGACTGAAGTTCTAAAATATAAAAATTATTAACATTTTTATTTTCTTTTATCATTGAAAAATATATAATGGCTTCATTTTAAAATGACAAAGGGAAATTACAGTTTAGACAGAGAAATTTTAAATATTTCCACTGGCAAAATTTTCTTACAATTAACTGTATTTAACTATATACTGTGATTAAAATAAAGTTAGAGTGGTGGCATATAATTATTGGTGATTTGTGGAAAAGGCCTCTGAAAGCAGGGAATTTCAAATACTTTCATTAGTTCCAGTTGTATTTTCGGTTGTTTCGCTCAGATTGAATTTAACTGGGACCTTTAGTTAACGTAAATTTTCTAGCCATAAATACTTAAGGTTCATAAGTAAGAAGCTTGATTTTCTCTTTTGCTTATCTCATACTTATTTTTTAAATTCTAAACTCCTTCACATTCTGTGTCTCCCTCAACACTCATCTGAAAATTTTGAATTCTCTTATCTTTTGGCCACCAAACCAGTCAATCCAGAACCATTTGTATCTTTAGCCCTTATTCTTTTCTGTTTATGAGTAGATTTTCCTGTCCCTTTCAAAGACAAGCCTATATACTTGTGCTCTGAGTACCATTCTCTTTTATCTTTTGGACAATTTTGTTTCTATATTATCTCCATTATCCCTGTTCCTTCTTCAGTTTCTCTGTACCTAATAATCTTCTCCATCAGATGTCACCAAAATGGCAAAGTAGGAGATACCACACCTCCCTCCCTCTACCACATAAAAAATGTAGACAGCTATACATAAATAAGAATTGCCTTGGGAATGCTGAAGAGCCCATTTAAGAATCAGTACCAGCACAATGAAGCAAAAAATACATATATATATATTTTTATATTTATATTATATAATATATTTTTATATTATATTATATATATTTTGTATATATTTATAAATATATTTTATAAACATTTGTATAAATAAAATATATTTATTTATATATTATAATATATAATTATATGTATTATATAGTTATATAAAATTTATATATAAATATATATTTTTATATTTATATATTTTTATATATATTATATATATATATAATATATATATATATAATATATATAGAAAATCCAGATAGAAATGACCACTGGTGAGATAAGCATACCTGAATCTCTGGGGGATGGCTCAAAACAAAGGAGAAAGTCAGATACTATCAATTTCAGCCATGTGCTGGAAGACCTTGAGGTCCTGAGTGACCTGCTTCACAGAGGACTCTGACTTCTTTTGACACTGAGGCAACAACAGCCATTTTTTTGCCATGGAATCCCTGAGAGGAAAACTTGGGTGCACACTTCTTCCGCTCCAGAAGCAGCTGCTATTGTACATTCAGGGATCAGAGATACCACTTCTCCCAACCTTGCACATGACCCTGGCCCTTGAGCTGCATCCACTCTGCAAGTGCCCATACTCTGGACCCCAAAACTGTGGATTCACTGCACTCAGCCATGCCTCAGACACCAGAGCAATCACTATAGCAGGTTAGTTTTTACCCTGGGCTGTGGAACCAAGGTCTCTCTTTCCATGTCCGTACTCAAGACACCAACTCAGCCACCACTGAGAGCTAACCCACATGCTACATTTGGGCTTCAAGAGGTCCAACGTCAACCTCAGTTGGCAGAGCTGCACAGGGACTACACAGTTGTGCTCCTGATGGTGCCAGAACCACTGTACCACATCTAGTCAGTGCCCTCACACTACCCTATAGGGGAAAGTAGTTCCCCACTGAAACTATCCTGAAAAGTCTGGAATAGCTGAGTATTTCACCAAATGCACCGATAGCTATTATAAGACAACAAGAAACATGAAAAACCAAGAAGACATATTACCACCAAAATGCTATGATAATTATCAGTAGCTTATGCCAAAGAAATGTAGAACTATGAACTGCCAGACAAATAATTCAAAATATTTCTTTTAAGGAAGCTTGGCATATTTCAAGAAAATACAGAGAAACAAATTCAAGAAAACAATAAACAAAATGAAGAGTTTATCAGAGTGATTGAAATCATAAAAGAAATCCAGAAATTCTGAAGCAAAGACTACAGTAAGTGAAATAAAAATGCAGAAAAGAGTATCAATAACAGAACTGATCAAGCAGAAGAAAGAATCTGTAAACTCAAAGACAGGTTCTTTGAAAATATATAGAGATGAGAAAAGAAAAAAAAAATAAAGGAAGCCTACAGGATTTATGGGAGAGTATAAAGGCAGCAAATATTCAAATTCTAGGAGCTAAATGAAGAAAAGAGAGACAAAAATATAGAGTGCTTTTTTAAGAGATAATGGGCTGAAAACTTTTCAAATCTGGGGAAAGATGAAATACCCAGGAACAGAAGGTCAAAAGTTTTCAATCAAATTCAATCCAAAAAAGACTACACCATGACAAATTATAATCCAATTGTAAACATCAGAGACAAAGGGCAGATCCTGAAAGCAGCAGGGGAAAAGAAACATATCACATACAAGGGAGTTTCAGTAGGTAAGCGGAAGATTTCTCAGCAAAACCATACAGGACAGGAGTGAGATGATATTTTAAAAGTTCTAAAAAAAGAAAAAAGCCTGCCAACCAAAAAAAAAAATGCTTTCTCCAGCAAAGCTGTCATTCAGAAATGGAGACATAACGACTTTTTCAGACAAACAAATCCTATAATTATAGTATATAATTATTCTGTTCATTAGAAACATGGTTTTATATATATACAAATGAATACATAGGCAAACCCACACATATAAGTATATACTCTCTAACTTTAGCTTGCTTATATTTAGTACTCAGAGTTCTTTTCCTCATCAATGGACTATTTATATGACCATATATTGTTGCTTATATTGTGGTTTATTTATTTCTCTGTTACAGATCATGCTATTGTTTAAATATACTGCAATTTATTCATGTGTTTTCCATTTTAAGCCACTTCTATGTTTTTGCTCTTCTCATCAATGCTAATTTTAACCATCTTACAGTATACAGACCATGTGAAATACTCTGAGGTAAAGGGACAAGGCTGAGCTACCCTTAGTGCTAAGTTAATAATTTTCCTAGCACATCTTTAAACTAGCTTCTGCACAGCTGTGAGCCTCTGGAGGCTAGTTGGGAATCTCTGCTAGGATATATAGCTTAGTGTAGAACTGCTGGTTTTGTAGGCTGAAAGAAGAATATATTTTATATGATAATTCAAAATTGTTTCCCAAAGTGGTTGTACTCCTTTGTAGTTTGTAGTATCCCACAAACACGTTGCATTTATACACGTCCTGTCCATACTTGGTGTTCTCAGAATTCTTAATTTTTGGACATGTAATAATGGTAAAAGACATTTCATTGTTATTGTACTTTCTATTTCTCTTAATATTCAAGATTAAACATCTTTCTATTATTTAAAAGCCATAAGTAGTTGATTGTGGAAATGCCTGTGCAACTCCTTTGCCGATGTTTTAATGTTGAAGATTTGTATTTCTTATTGATTTGTAAGGGCTTTATGTTTCTGATATTAGTAGTCTGTGATGTTGTTATATGTAGCAAGTACCTTCTGCCAGTTTGTGCTTGTTTTTTTATTTTCTGTTGATAAACAGAAATTCTTAATTTTATTATAACCAAAATATCCTTTTTAAGCTCATGATTAAAATATTTGTACTTTAAGGATCTCGCTACTCAAGAGTCTTATATACATTTTACTATACTGTCTTATTAGATTTAAATTTGCTTTTTATATTTAAATCTGTTTGTAATGGAGTCTTTTTTACATAGGATATAAGTATCTATTAATTTAATTAGTATGTAATCAATTGTCTTAGCACTATTTAACAAGTAGTTCCATACCATACTGCATTGGTATGCTATGACAAACCTAATATAGGTAATGTGTTCACATAAACATGACTGTGTCTGTGGTTTCTATCCCATTCCATTGATTAATTTGTCTCTTCTACCACACTTTTTAAATAAATATATCTTTTTTTGAGACAGAGTCTCACTCTGTCACCCAGGCTGGAGTGCAGTGCCATGATCTCAGCTCACTGCAACCTCCACCTCCCCATTTCAAGCAATTCTCGTGCCTCAGCCTCCTAATAGATGGGACTACAGGCATGTGCCATCATGTTTGGCTAATTTTTGTATTTTTGTAGAGATGGGGTTTCACCATTTTGGCCGGACTGGTCTCAAACTCCTGATGTCAAGTGATCCGCCTGCCTTGGCGTCCCCAAGTGCTGGTATTACAGGCATGAGCCACCAGGCCTGACTTAAATAAATATATCTTATACACATAGTATCAAAATAGAGTGTGAAGTGTTTCCTCAGTTTTCACCTCTTAATATTATTGGGCTTGGATTATGCATTTTAATTTTGGAATCAGCTTACTAATTCTGTGAAAAATGTTTTTAGGATATTGATTAAAATTTATCAAAATTGCTTTGAATATAGAGATCAATCTGCAAATATGTCTTTTTTCTAGGATATGGTGTCTTTTTATGAATATGGTATTTAGGTGGATTTCAATTTCTTTTAAAAAGTTCATTATAGAATTTATGAATTATATATACTCTTAAAAGATGTATTCATAGATTATATTTTAATTGTTATTGGAAATGGACTGCCATTTATAATTACATTTTCTGTTTATTAGTGGTGTGTAGAATTCCAATTAATTTTTACCTCATAATTTTTATTCAGCCACATTTCTAAACTCACTAAGACAATTAATTAATTAAATTAATTATTTTAAACAATTGAAACAATTTCTTGTTTTTATATTGTATTTTCTACTAGAAATTATACTTTTGTTTCTTTCTTTAAAAATATTTAGAAGAGTAACTTCAGCAAGATAGTAGAATGGGAAGTCCCAAGCCTCAATATCTCATATAAATATCACGAGCTAATAACTTTATGGAAGGTTTAGAATCCAAGTAAGAAGTTGCAGTACTTCAGATGAGCACAAAACTGAAACAAAACACATTAGTAAGAAAAGCAATTTTATTTTATCCACAGCAACCATCCCCAAGGCAGCACAACTCAACATGCTGATCAAAATCACCTTGGCTTATGATTTCTCCCTCCTGAGAAAAAGGAAGTAGAGTATGCTTCCAGTGTCCCAAACTTTCAGCGTGCTGCCCAAGGGGCAGGCACAGACAGAGTGCTCGTGAAACTGGCAGAGATCATAGTTAACAGTGAAGAATTGAAAACATTCGCTCTAAGATCCAGGACAAAGTAAGGATGTCAACACTTGTGATTTCTGTTCAACATAGTACTGGAAATTGTAGCCAAATCAATTAGGCAAGAAAAAGAGATGGGATGCATGCAAACTGGGAAAAAAGAAGTAAAATTATCTTTGTTTTCAAACTGTATGATCTTATGTCTAAAAAACCCTAAAGACTCCACAAAAATCTTTTTTTTTTTTGCTATAATTATTCTTTTTTTTTAAATTATACTTTAAGTTTTAGGGTACATGTGCACAATGTGCAGGTTAGTTACATATGTATACATGTGCCATATTGGTGTGCTGCACCCATTAACTCGTCATTTAGCATTAGGTATATCTCCTAATGCTATCCCTCCCCCCTCCCCCTACCCCACAACAGTCCCCAGTGTGTGATGTTCCCCTTCCTGTATCCATGTGTTCTCATTGTTCAATTCCCACCTATGAGTGAGAACATGCATTGTTTGGTTTTTTGTCCTTGCGATAGTTTGCTGAGAATGATGGTTTCCAGCTTCATCCATGTCCCTACAAATGACATGAACTCATCATTTTTTATGGCTGCATAGTATTCCATGGTGTATATGTGCCACATTCTCTTAATCCTGTCTATCATTGTTGGACATTTGGCTTGGTTCCAAGTCTTTGCTATTGTGAATAGTGCCACAATAAACATACATGTGCATGTGTCTTTATAGCAGCATGATTTATATTCCTTTGGGTATATACCCAGTAATGGGATGGCTGGGTCAAATGGTATTTCTGGTTCAAGATCCTTGAGGAATCGCCACACCAACTTCCACAATGGTTGAACTAGTTTACAGTCCCACCAACAGTGTAAAAGTGTTCCTATTTCTCCACATCCTCTCCAGCACCTGTTGTTTCCTGACTTTTTAATGATTGCCATTCTACCTGGTATTAGATGGTATCTCATTGTGGTTTTGATTTGCATTTCTGTGATGGCCAGTGATGATGAGCATTTTTTCATGTGTTTTTTGGCTGCGTAAATGTCTTCTTTTGAGAAGTGTCTGTTCATATCCTTTGCCCACTTTTTGATGGGGTTGTTTGTTTTTTCTTGTAAATTTGTTGGAGTTCATTGTAGATTCTGGATATTAGCCCTTTGTCAGATGAGTAGGTTGCAAAAATTTTCTCCCATTCTGTAGGTTGCCTGTTCACTCTAATGGTGGTTTCTTTTGCTGTGCAGAAGCTCTTTAGTTTAATTAGATCTCATTTGTCAATTTCAGCTTTTGTTGCCGTTGCTTTTGGTGTTTTAGACATGAAGTCCTTGCCCATGCCTATGTCCTGAATGCTATTGCCTAGGTTTTCTTCTAGGGTTTTTATGGTTTTAGGTCTAACATGTAAGTCTTTAATCCATCTTGAATTAATTTTTGTATAAGGCGTAAGGAAGGGATCCAGTTTCAGCTTTCTACATATGTCTATCCAGTTTTCCTAGCACCATTTATTAAATAGGGAATCCTTTCCCCATTGCTTGTTTTTTGTCAGGATTGTCAAAGATCAGATAGTTGTAGATATGTGGCATTATTTCTGAGGGCTCTGTTCTGTTCCATTCGTCTATATCTCTGTTTTGGTACCAGTACCATGCTGTTTTGGTTACTGTAGCCTTGTAGTATAGTTTGAAGTCAGGTAGCATGATGCCTCCAGCTTTGTTCTTTTGGCTTAGGATTGACTTGGCAATGAGGGCTCTTTTTTGGTTCCATATGAACTTTAAAGTAGTTTTTTCCAATTCTGTGAAGAAAGTCATTGGTAGCTTGATGGGGATGGCATTGAATCTATAAATTACCTTGGGCAGTATGGCCGTTTTCACGATATTGATTCTTCCTACCCATGAGCATGGAATGTTCTTCCATTTGTTTGTATCCTCTTTTATTTCATTGAGCAGTGGTTTGTAGTTCTCCTTGAAGAGGTCCTTCACATCCCTTGTAAGTTGGATTCCTAGGTATTTTATTCTCTTTGAAGCAATTGTGAATGGGAGTTCACTCATGATTTGGCTCTCTGTTTGTCTGTTATTGGTGTATAAGAATGCTTGTGATTTTTGCACATTGATTTTGTATCCTGAGACTTTGCTGAAGTTGCTTATCAGCCTAAGGAGATTTTGGGGTGAGACGATGGGGTTTTTTAGATATACAATCATGTCATCTGCAAACAGGGACAATTTGACTTCCCCTTTTCCTAATTGAATGTCCTTTATTTCCTTCTCCTGCCTGATTGCCCTGGCCAGAACTTACAACACTATGTTGAATAGGAGCGGTGAGAGAGGGCATCGCTGTCTTGAGCCAGTTTTCAAAGGGAATGCTGCCAGTTTTTGTCCATTCAGTATGATATTGGCTGTGGGTTTGTCATAGTTAGCTCTTATTATTTTGAGATACGTCCCATCAATACATAATTTATTGAGAGTTTTTAGCATGACGGGCTGTTGAATTTTGTCCAAGGCCTTTTCTGCATCTATTGAGATAATCATGTGGTTTTTGTCTTTGGTTCTGTTTATATGCTGGATTACATTTATTGATTTGCGTATGTTGAACCAGCCTTGCATCCCAGGGATGAAGCCCACTTGATCATGGTGGATAAGCTTTTTGATGTGCTGCTGGATTCGGTTTGCCAGTATTTTATTGAGGATTCTTGCATCGATGTTCATCAAGGATATTGGTCTGAAATTCTCTTTTTTTGTTGTGTCTCTGCCAGGCTTTGGTATCAGGATGATGCTGGCCTCATAAAATGAGTTAGAGAGGATTCCCTCTTTTTCTATTGATTGGAATAGTTTCAGAAGGAATGATACCAGCTCCTCCTTGTACCTCTGGTAGAATTCAGCTGTGAATCCATCTGGTGCTGGACTTTTTTTGGTTGGTAAGCTATTAATTATTGCCTCTATTTCAGAGCCTATTACTGGTCTATTCAGAGATTCAACTTCTTCCTGGTTGTTTTGGGAGAGTGTATGTATCGAGGAATTTATCCATTTCTTCTAGATTTTCTAGTTTATTTGCATAGAGGTGTTTGTAGTATTATCTGATGGTAGTTTGTATTTCTGTGGGATCAGTGGTGATATCCCCTTTGTCATTTTTTATTGCGTCTATTTGATTCTTCTCTCTTTTCTTCTTTATTAGCCTTGCTAGCAGTCTATCAATTTTGTTGATCTTTTCAAAAAACCAGCTCCTGGATTCATTGATTTTTTGAAGGGTTTTTTGTGTCTCTATTTCCTTCAGTTCTGCTCTGATCTTAGTTATTTCTTGCATTTTGCTAGCTTTTGAATGTGTTTGCTCTTGTTTCTCTAGTTCTTTTAATTGTGATGTTAGGGTGTCAATTTTAGATCTTTCCTGCTTTCTCTTGTGGGCATTTAGTAAAGGTAGATAAAACCACAAAGATGGGGATAAAACAGAGAAGAAAAACCGGAAACTCTAAAAATCAGAGTGCTTCTCCTCCTCCAAAGGAACGCAGCTCCTCACCAGCAACGGAACAAAGCTGGACGGAGAGTGACTTTGACGAGCTGAGAGAGGAAGGCTTCAGAAGATCAAACTACTCCGAGCTAAAGGAGGAAGTTTGAACCAATGGCAAAGAAGTTAAAAACTTTGAAAAAAAAATTAGACAAATGGATAACTAGAATAATCAATGCAGAGAAGTCCTTAAAGAACCTGATGGAGCTGAAAACAACGGCACGAGAACTATGTGATGAATGCACAAGCCTCAGTAACTGATGTCATCAACTGGAAGACAGGGTAACAGTGATGGAAGACGAAATGAATGAAATGAAGTGTGAAGAGAAGTTTAGAGAAAAAAGAATAAAAAGAAACAAACAAAGCCTCCAAGAAATATGGGACTATGTGAAAAGACCAAATCTACGTCTGATTGGTGTACCTGAAAGTGGTGGGGATAATGGAACCAAGTTGGAAAACACTCTGCAGGATATTATCCAGGAGAACTTCCCCAATCTAGCAAGGCAGGCCAACATTCAAATTCAGGAAACACAGAGAATGCCACAAAGATACTCCTCGAGAAGAGCAACTCCAAGACACATAATTGTCAGATTCACCAAAGTTCAAATGCAGGAAAAAATATTAGGGGCAGCCAGAGAGAAAGGTTGGGTTACCCACAAAGGGAAGCCCATCAGATGAACAGCTGATATCTCAGCAGAAACGGCAAGCCAGAAGACAGTAGGGGCCAATATTCAACATTCTTTTTTTTTTTTTTTTTTTTTTTTTGAGACGGAGTCTCGCTCTGTCACCCAGGCTGGAGTGCAGTGGCGGGATCTCGGCTCACTGCAAGCTCCGCCTCCCGGGTTCACGCCATTCTCCTGCCTCAGCCTCCCAAGTAGCTGGGACTACAGGCGCCCACCACTACACCCGGCTAATTTTTTGTATTTTTAGTAGAGACGGGGTTTCACCGTTTTAGCCAGGATGGTCTCGATCTCCTGACCTCGTGATCCGCCCGCCTCGGCCTCCCAAAGTGCTGGGATTACAGGCGTGAGCCACCGCGCCCGGCCAATATTCAACATTCTTAAAGAAAAGAATTTTTAACCTAGAATTTCATATCCAGCCAAACTAAGCTTCATAAGTGAAGGAGAAATAAAATACTTTACAGACAAGCAAATGCTGAGAGATTTTGTCACCACCAGGCCTGCGCTAAAAGAGCTCCTGAAGGAAGCACTAAACATGGAAAGGAACAACCGGTACCAGCCACTGCAAAAACATGCCAAATTGTAAAGACCATCGAGGCTAGGAAGAAACTGCATCAACTAACGAGCAAAATAACCAGCTAACATCATAATGACAGGATCAAATTCACACATAACAATACTAACCTTAAATGTAAATGGGCTAAATGCTCCAATTAAAAGGCACAGACTGGCAAATTGGATAAAGAGTCAAGACCCATTAGTGTGCTGTATTCAGGAAACCCATCTCACATGCAGAGACACACATAGGCTCAAAATAAAGGGATGGAGGAAGATCTACCAAGCAAATGGAAAACAAAAAAAGGCAGGGTTTGCAATCCTAGTCTCGGATAAAACAGACTTTAAACCAACAAGATCAAAAGAGACAAAGAAGGCCATTACATAATGGTAAAGGGATCAATTCAACAAGAAGAACTAACTATCCTAAATATATATGCACCCAATACAGGAGCACCCAGATTCATAAAGCAAGTCCTGAGTGACCTACAAAGAGACTTAGACTTCCACACGATAATAATGGGAGACTTTAACACCCCACTGTCAACGTTAGACAGATCAACAAGACAGAAAGTTAACAAGGATATCCAGGAATTGAACTCAGCTCTGCACCACGCGGACCTAATAGACATTTACAGAACTGTCCATCTCAAATCAACAGAATATACATTCTTTTCAGCACCACACCACACCTATTCCAAAATTGACCACATAGTTGGAAGTAAAGCACTCCTTAGCAAACGTAAAAGAACAGAAATTATAACAAACTGTCTCTCAGACCACAGTGCAATCAAACTAGAACTCAGGATTAAGAAACTCACTCAAAACCACTCAACTACATGGAAACTGAACAACCTGCTCCTGAATGACTACTGGGCACATAATGAAATGAAGGCAGAAATAAAGATTTTCTTTGAAACCAATGAGAACAAAGACACAAGATACCAGAATCTCTGGGACACATTCAAAATTCTTTTAGAACTAATGAATTCAGTAAAATTACAGGATACAAAATGAACATGCAAAAACCAGTTGTATTCCTTTACAATAATAGTGAGTTATCTGAATAGGAAATTAAGAAACAATTTTATTTACAATGACATCAAAAAAGATAAACTATTTAGGTATAAACAATCAAGGAGGTAAGTAACTTGTACATAAAAAACTATATAACATCTATGAAAGTAATTAAAAAGAGAAAAACAAATGGAAAGCCCTTCATGTCCATAGATTGGAAAAATTAATTTCTTAAAATGTCCATACTACCCAAAGCAATCTACAGATATATTGCAATCCCTATCAAAATCTAAATGGTATTTTTTTATAGAAATGGGGAAAAAAATCCTAAAATTCATATGAAACCACAAAAGACCCTGAATAGTCAAAGCAATTTTGGGAAAGAACAACACAGCTAGAGACCTCACACTTTCTGATTTCAGAATATATTACAAAGTTATAGGATTAAAATAATATAATACTCTGTTTACCACTTTTAGCTGTTTTACTAGCCCCAAAACAGACATAGACCAATGGAACAGACTAGGGATTCCAGAAATAAACCCACCCATATTGGTCATCAGATCTCTGGCAGGCATGCCAAGAATTCACAATGGAAAAAGAATAGTCTCTTCAACAAATGGTATTGGGGAAACTGGATATTCATGCACAAAATAATACACAAAATACTAAAATTGTATCATTTTCTTACACCATACAAAAATCAACTTAAATCGAATTAAATATTTAAATGTAAGATCTGAATCTATAACATTTCTAGAAAAAATAGGTGAAAACCTTTGTGATTTTGATCTGGATAGAGATTTTTTTTTTTTGATATGATACCAAAAGCACAGGAAACAAAAGCAAAAATAGCAAGTGAGGCTATATCAAAATAAAAATCTTCTGCACAACAAAGCTTCTGCATGTTTCTACTTACGTAAGTTATTCAAAATAGTCAAACTCATGGAGACAGAGTAGAATGATGATTTTCAGGGTTAAAGGGGAACTACTGTTCAATGGGTATAAAGTTTCAGTTATACAAGAAAAAAGTATTATTATTTCTGTAGAACATTGTGTTCATTACTTTGTGTTCCATGTATTACATTGTGTAAATCACATGTATAAGAGATGATTCTTTAAGTTCTACTTTCATGAAAAACTCAAGATATTATTTCTATGAAACATTGTGTTTACAATTCTGTATTCCATGTTACGGACTGTGTAATGAACAAGTCATAAAAATGTTTCTAAGAGTGATAATTTTGTGAATGAATCAGAATTGTATAATTTCTTTGAAACATCATATTCAGCCCTGTCCTATATGTTATATATACTCTAAAGATGCATGTATAAAAGTCAAAGGAATAAAAGACGTTTCTGAGAATACATAAAGATATTTATTTGTTTCTGAAATGTAATTGGTAAAAACTGATTTATACAAAGGTTATAAGTACTTGCATACCTTAATGTTTTGAAAGTATTAACAAAGGCCAGTCATAGTGGCCAGTCTGGGCAATATGGCAAAACCCCATCTCTGGAAAAAATATTTCTAAAAATAGCACCTATAGTCTCAGCTACTCAGAAGGCTGAGGTGGGAGAATCACCTGAGCCTGAGAAGGTCAAGGCTGCAGTGAGCCATCATCGTGCCACCACACTCCAGCCTGAGTGACAGAGTGAGACCCTGTCTCAAAATAAATAAAATAAAATAGTATTAACAAATATAGGCTGCCCTCAACTTTGCATGTTTTCCATGTGAAACAATTTCAGATACCAGGCTGCTGACAACGTGAATCAAATTTAAGTTACCATAGTATATTATCTGCAAATAATTGCCAAAAGCACTAACATCACTATTTCTTCAGTCCACAAATCACAGATGAGCAGTATGATCAGCTTCCAATCACATGACTTATTTCAGTGTCTGTTGGCGACTGGTTACTGCAGTCTGTTATTCAATTTGTCAACAGGTAGGAAAGCACGTAGTTGTATTGCCTTCTTTTCTCCCAGTGGTGACTCATGTGACATTTTACAATACAGAAAAATAAAATAAAATATCAGGCCAGAAGCGGTGGCTCACGCCTGTAATCCCAGCACTTTGAGAGACCAAAATGGCAGATCACCTGTCAGGAGTTCAAAACCAGCCTGGCCAACATGGCGAAACCCCGTCTCTACTAAAAATACAAAAATTAGCCAGGCGTGGTGGCAGACCCATGTAGTCCCAGCTACCTGGGAGGCTGAGACATGAGAATTGCTTGAACTCAGGTGTCAGAGGTTGCAGTAAGTCGAGATTGCACCTCTACACTCCAGGGTGGGCAACAGAGTGAGACTCCATCTCCAAATAAATAAATAAATAAAATAAAGTATCAAATTGTCCAACCAAGAGGGAACTGCAGCAAATATTACAACTGAAAATACTAGAAGTGAAATTTGAATAGAATGTAGATGGAATTACAGAATAAATAATGACTGTGGGAATGCTGTGCCACCATTCAATTAAGCCTTATCTAGCTATGAAGACTTATCTTAGTAAAGGTGAACTTATTAAAGTAAATTAAGGAAGTGGTTGTAATGAAAGGTTGCAGATATCCCAGAGGAAGTGATGCTAGGAAAACTTTATACTAAAGAACTTTTCAAAATATAAAAGCACAAAGATTAAATTTTCAAAATGATTCCAAACTTATGAAGAAGTATAATTCTCATCCACACATAGAAAATGCTCACCCTGTAAGTTTCATGAATAAAAGAATGTAAGCACCATTCAAACTACTCTTAATAATCATGAAATACTATGCAGCCATAAAAAGAATGAGATCCTTTGCAGGGACCTGGATGGAGCTGGAGGCCATTATCCTTAGCAAACTAACACAGGAACAGAAAACTAAATACCCCATGTTCTCACTTATAAGTGGGAGCTAAATGAGGAACACATGGACACACAGAGGGGAATAACTCACACTGGGGCCTATCGGAGGGGGTGGGGTGGAAGAGGGAGAGGATCAGGAAAAATAACCAGTGAATATGAGGTTTAATACCTGGATGTTGAAATAATCTGTACATCTCCCCCCATGACACAAGTTTACCTATGTAACAAGCCTGCACATGTATCCCTGAACTTAAAATGAAATAAAAAAAACACTTTAATTCTCAATGTTTCTAATGTTTTAGTGTTCTAAATAAATACTAGTTTTATTTCTGTTTTTCTGCACATTTATAACAGAAAGTAAGAGTTTCTAATGTTTTAATGAAAAGTTTCACAAGTCACAAAATAATAATACATTTCCAATGGATTATTAACAATGCTTTTCAAGGTTTCAGCTTGAATGGTCCCTCACTACCATACTAAGTGAGGACTACCTGTATACATCTGTGCGACCATTATCTCATTCAACATTTTCATTACTCTAGACATATCTCTTGTGATCTATCCTGTCAAACTCTGCATAAGCACTAGATGCAACCACTGTTCTGGTTTCCCTTATCATAGCCTGTTCTCATCTTTCATATAAATAGCATCGTGTAATATATACACTTTGTTTCTGAGTTATTTTACTAAACATAATATTTTTGAGATCCATTTATGTTTTAAAAATGTATAATTTTTTATTTTTAGTCATTTTCTTGTATGCTATATCACAATTTGTTTGTATATTCAGTTCAGGAAGGGGTTTTTTTTTCCAGTTTTTGATTACTATAAATTAAGCAGCCAAGAATATTCCATACAAGTATTTGTTTTTGGACATCTGTTTCATTTCCTTTGTGCAACACAGTAAGATACAGGATAAGTTAAGTTTCATATTATTTTCAAAAATGCCAAAGTGTTTAATAAATGGTTGTAAAATTGTAAACAACCCACCATTATTTTATAAAAAGTCAAAGTGTTCTACCTCTTCATCCATATTTAATATTGTCCTTTTTTTTTTAAAGAAAAGTAGCCATTCTAAAAAGTTTGTATTGGCATATATTTTTATTTCTTTTAATTGAAGAATAAACAGCTGCGTATTATTTTGTGTTTATGTGATATTTGCATATCTTATTTTGCTATCGACAAATTCAAAATTTTATTATTTGAAAAAATTAATGAAATTAAACTAGTGCTTCCTGAATATTTTTGCTTCTTGAAAAGCAAACTGAAAAACTGCATAAGTGTACAGCATACAGAGGTTAAGTGAAAATGCTGCTCAAGGCCTAAAGGCAAATAGCTTGGCACTGCTGGCCCTCCCAGTCTCCAAGTTAAGCGTGGATCTGTATCTTATCACATAGGACTGTAACTCATTCATTGCACACTATTCTATTCCAGAATTCCCATTGTATGTACTAAAGTAGAAAATCTTCTGGTGAAATTAATAAAGAATAAAAAAGATATAAATAAACAACATTAAGAATAGAAGGGGGTCATAATTACATATAAACAGATTTAAAACATGGCAAAATTCTATAACAAACTGAAAAAGTTGAAGGAAATGATAATGTGATGTGATGATAATAATAAAGATATATGTTTTAACAAAACATTGACTGTCCCTCTAACATTTCCATAAATAAGAAGAATCAGAATTAGACAAAAAATATTTCACAAGCAATCACAAGGCCCAGATGCAGAGATAGTTCTACCAGACTTTCAATCTTTTACACATATTTCAGTGAACAGGAGAGGAAATACTCCTCATTTGTCAAAGCCAACATAAACTTACTATCAAATGCAAATTTGGACAGGAAAAAAAAAACAACAGGAAAAGAACAGGCCAATCTAAATACTACCTAATGAAGCCCTGAACCAAGTTCCTAGAAGCTCCAGGAAATCTAGTGATTGGCAGCCTGCTAGAAATAAACTCAAATTCCTCCAAAGGAATATAACAAAATCCAGAGTTTAAAAAATACATAATTTATAATGTCCAGTATATAATCAGAACTTTAAATACATATAAATGAAAACGAAAATGTGACCCAGAGCCAAGACAAAAATTTTCATAACTACTGTTCTAAACCATATATGAAACTTAGACTTCTAAATCTAAATTGCTATGGAATTACTAAGGGTTTATGTAGATTAATAGTGAATTTTTTCTTGTTTATTAATATGAAATTAACTTGATATTATGAATTCTAATTTTGATTAATCATGGAAGTTCAAATTTAGATTTAACTATTAGTCATAACACAACAAGAAAGCAGGGTAATCTCTCTTTTCCTCCTAAAACATGCAAAAAGGAATTAGACATCCAAGAGAAACCCCAAAATAATCTATACTTCCAAAATTATTCAAGATAGTTAACCTATGAAATTACAGTTAATGTGTCATTTTCTCTAGTACATTTATGTGCATATTAATATCAAACAAGATAAATATCTGTTTTAAATGTAGAGTTTGTAGACAAATAAGGGGCGTCAGTCAAAATTTATTTAAATTTATTCAAGCTAAAATGATTAAAGGTTAAAGTATTAACAAATCTTTCTTCATTGCTTTTCATTTTTCTAATTTATTGCTATTCCTAAGGTGATTCTTTAAATTATGGAGAATTGGTGTATATATGTTAGAGGAATGAAAATGTTTTCCCTTGATACATTGATTTATGCTAATTGGCATATTACCTTGAACATAAGGCATGTTGAACATAAGTTGAACGATAGTATTTTTTACAACCTGTAATAATGAAATAACTGAATCATGGTTATTACTTTTAATAAATGTTTACATGCTATAAAAAGTTGTAAAAGCTCCTGCAAATTTTGCTACATTTTGTACATCTTATTCTATTTTTTAATTTTTGAGGTTTATTTTTCATTCACAAACTGTATTAGTTTCTCAAAAAATTATGTTTCATTTTTGTGGGTACACAGTAAATGTATATATTTATGGGATACATGAGATATTTTGATGAAGGCATACGATATGTAATAACTGTATCAGGGTGAATAGGGTATCCATAACTTCAAGCACTTATCCTTTCTTTGTGCTACAAACAATCCAATTATACTTTTAATTTTTTTATGTGTACAATAAATGATTGACTGTAGTCACCTTGTTGTGCCATCAAATACTAGGTCTGATTCATCCTAACTAACTATATTTTTGAACCCATTTATTGCCTCCACTTAGCCCCGCTCCGTCCCACTACCCTGCCCAGCCCCCTGGTAAGCATCATTCTATTCAATTTCTTTTATAAATGTTTTATAGTTTTTATTCTAGAGGTCATTCACTTCTTTGGTTAAGTTTACTACCAGGTATTTAATTTTATGTGTGGCTATTGTAAAAGGGATTACTTTCTTGATTTCTTTTTCAGATTGTCCACTGTTGTCATATAGAAATGCTACTGATTTTTGTATGTTGATTTTGTATCCACAAACTGAATTTGTTTATCACTTCTAATAGATTTTTGGTAGAGTCTTTAGGTTTTTCCAAATAAAAGATTATATCATCTGAAAACAAGCATAATTTGATTCCTTCCTTTCCAGTTTGGATGCCCTTTATTTCTTTCTCTTCTCTGATTGCTGTAGCCAGGACTTTGAGTACTGTGTTGAATAACAGTGGTGAAACTGGGCATCGTTCTCTTGTTCCAGATCTTAGAGGAAAGGCTTTCAGATTTTCCCCATTCAGTATTAAGTATGATACTAGCTGTAGGTTAGTCATATATGACTTTTATCATCATTGCATTGAGGTCTGTTTTTCTCATTAGCATTAATAATATTTGCTTTATATATTTGGGTGCTCCATTGTTGGGTCCATCCATATATTTACAATTTTTATATCCTCTTGCTAAATCAATCCCTTTATAATTAAATAATGAGCTTCTTTGTCTCTTTTTATAGTTTTTGCCTTGATATCTATTTTTTCAGGAGTAGATGTAAGAGCAGAATAGATAAAAGAGCAGTAGATATTTTTATATCTCAATATAAGAACAGGATTAGATATAAGGATATCTTATATCTATTTAATATAAATATCTACTTAATATGAGAGCAGGACTAGATATTCTTATATCTTATGTTCTTCTATCTGCCCCTGCTCTTTTTATTTCCATGAAATATCTTTTTGCATTCCTTTATTTTCAGTCTATGTTTGTCTTTAGAGGTGCAGTATGTTTTTGGTAGGCAACAGACTGGTATGTCTTTTTTTTAAATCCATTCAATCCCTCTATGTTTTTTGATTGGATAGTTTAGTTCATGTACTTTCGATGTTATTATTGATAAGTAAGGACTTATTCCTGACATTTGCTATTTGTCTTCTGGTTGTTTTGTGGTCTTATCTTTATTCATTCCTTCCTTCCTGATTTCTTTTTAGTGAATTTTTTTTCTGGTGGCATGTTTTAATTTCTTACTTTTTATTTTTTGCATATATCTCATATGTTTTTTGATTTCAGATTGTCATGAAGCATGGAAATAATGTAACACATGATTTTAAACTGACGACAATTAACACTGATTGCATAAAGGAACAAACTAACAGATAAGCAAAGTGAAAACTAATAAGAACTCCACACGTTAACTTCCCCGTGCTTTTTAACTTTTTGTTGTTTCTATTTGTATATTTTTGTACTGTGTAGGTCTTGAAATGTTGAGGTTATTATTTTTGATTAGTTTACCTTTTAGTCTTTCTACCCAAGTATGAGCCATTTACACAGCATAATTACAACTTTATAATATTGTGTTTTTCTGTATACTTAGTATTACTAGTGAGTTTTGTACCTTTACATGATTTCTGATTGCTCATTAATGTCTTTTTCTTTCAAATTGAAGAAGTCCCTTAGGAGTTATTGTAGGACAGGTATGGTGTTGATTAAATCCCTCAGCTTTGGTTTGCATTGAAACGTCTTTATTTCTCCTTCATGTTTGAAGGATATTTTCACTATATATATTAACACTATTCTAGTTCTCCTTCAGCACATTAAATATATCATGCCACTCTCTCGGCCTGTAAGGTTTTCACTCAAAAGTTTGCTACCAGATGTGTTGGAGCTCCTTTGTCCGTTATTTGTATCTTGTCTCTTGCTGCTTTTAGGATTTTTTGCTTACCCTTGATCTTTGGTAGTTTGATTATTAAATACCTTGAGGTAGTCTTTTTTGGGTTAAATCTGCTTGCTCTTCTGTACCCTTCTTGTACTTGAATATTGATATCTTTCTCTAGATTTGGGAAGTTTGGTGTTACTATCCCTTTGAATAAACTTTCTGCCCCATCTCTCTCTTGATTTCCTCTTTGAGCCCCCAAACTCTTAGATTTACCCTCGTGAGACTATTTTCTAGATCTTTTAGGGGCGATCCATTATATTTTATTCTTTTTGCATTTACTCTGTCCCCACTCAAAATCTCATCTGGAATTGTAACCCCCATTATTCCCATGATCCCAATGTGTCAAGAGCAGGACTAGTGTGGAAGTAATTGGAGCATGGGGGCAGTTTCCCCCATGCTGTTCTCATGATTGTGAGTGAGTCTCAGGAGATCTGACAGTTTTTTGTTTTTGTTTTTGTTTTTTTTCGAAACAGTCTCGCTCTATCCCCTAGGCTGGAATGCAGTGGCACAATGGCTCACTGCAACCTACGCCTCCTGGGCTCAAGCCATTTTCCTGCCTCAGCCTCCTGAGTAGCTGGGATTACAGATGCATGCCACCACACCCGGCTAATTTTTGTATTTTTAGTAGAGACAGGGTTTCACCATGTTGGCCAGGTTGGTTTTGAACTCCTGACCTCAAGTGACCCGCCCATCTCTGCCTTCCAAAGTGATATGATTACAGGCATGAGCCACCGTGCCTGGCCTGATACATATATATATATATATATATATATTTTTTTTTTTTTTAATAAGCATCTGGCATTTCTCCTGCTAGCACTCACTCCATCCTGCCACCCTGTGAAGAAGTTGCCTGCTTCTCCTTTGCCTTCTGCCCTGATTGTAAGTTTCCCTCTGAGGCCTCCCCAGCAATGCAGAACTGTGAGTCAATTAAACCTATTTCTTTTGTAAATTACCCAGTCTTGGATATTTCTTTGTAGCAATGTGAGAATGGATTAGTACATCTCCTCTGACAGCGTATTTTCAAATAATCTGTACCAAAGCTCACTAATTCTTTCTTCTGCTTGACCCATTCTGCTCTTGAGAATCTGATTCATTCTTCAGCATGTCAATTGCGTTTTTCGACTCCAGAATTTCTGCTTGACTCTTTTTAATTATTTCACTCTTTGTTAAATTCATCTGATAGAATTCTGCATTTCTTCTCTGTGTTATCTGGAGTTTCACTGAGTTTCTTGAATTTCCTCGATTAAATACAAGATAATTCAAAACAACTATTTTGAATTATCTGTCTGAAAGGTCACACATCTCTTTTTCTCTGGGATTTGTCTCTAGTGCTTACTTTGATTGTTTGGTGGAGTCATGTTTTCCTAGATAGTCTTGATGCTTGTGGATATTCATCAGTGTCTGGTCATTGAAGAGTTAATTATTTATTGTAGTCTTCACAAATTGGGTTTGTTTGTACTCTCTCTTCTTGGGAAAGCTTTCCAGGTATTTGAAGGTCTGGTGTTGTGGTCTAAGTTGCTGGTCACTGTAACCGTATTTCCATTAGGGAACACCTCAAACCCAGTACCAGTGTGTCTTGCAGACTTGTAGTGGTAACACTTTGGTTGCCCTGGATAAGATTTGGAAAAATTACGTGAATTACCATGTGCACACTCTTGTTCTCTGCCCTTATTTTCTGCAAAGGAAGTGTAGTCTTTCTCTGTGTACCGAGATGTCTGCAGCTATGTGAGGGGTGACATAAGAACCCCTGTAACGACTACCACTGGGAATGGACTGGGTCAGACCTAAAGCCAGCACAGCACTGGGTCTTGCCCAGGGCCCACATTATCAACTACTTGGCTACCACCTGTGTTCAATTATGGCCCTTGGGCTCTACAATCAGCAGGTGGCCAAGACAGCCAGGCTTATGTCTTTTCATTTAGAGTGGCAAATTTCCCTGGGCCCTTGGGAGGTCCAGAGATGCCCCAACCCTGGAGCCAGGGCCTGGAGGTGAAAACCTTAGAATTCTACTTGGTGCTCTATTTTACTGCTGTTGAGTTGGTACCCAAGCCACAAGGCAATGTCCCTACCACTCTTCTCTATCTTTTCCACAGGCAGAGGAGTCTTTCTTTGTGGCCACTACCACCACCAGCCCATGGAAGATTCTGCCTGGCCACCACTAATGTTCATGTAAAGCCCAAGGGCTCTTCAATCAGGTTGTAGTTAATGTTGCCATGCCTGGGACTCACCCTTCAGGGAGTCGGCTCCCCTCTGGGCCAGGCCATGTTCAGAAATTTCATCCAAGTATGAAAGCCTTGTATTGGAGACCCCAAGAGCCCCTTCAATGCTCTGCCTCACTGTGGTCCAGCTGGTACCCAAGTTGCAACACAAAGTCCCATTTATTCTTCCCTGTCCTTTTATCAAGCAGAAGTGGTCTCTGCATAGCCACCACAGCTGCGTATTTGCTTGGTCCCACCTAAAGCCAGCACATCTTTGAGTCTGACCTAGGCCCATGGCAAGTATTGACCATAGTTTTTGTGAAGTCTTTAATTTTCCCAGAGAGAAGATCATATCACCTGTAAACAAGAATAATTTGATTTCTTTCTTTCCAATATGGATGTCCTTTATTTCTTTCTCTTTCCTGATTGCTACAGCTAGGTCCTCCAGTACTATGTTGAAATGAAAGTAGTAATGAAAGTAGGCATTCTTGTCATGTTCCAGATCTTAGCAGAAAGACTTGCAGTTTTCTGCCATTCAGTATGATACTAGCAGTGGGTTTGTCATATGTGACTTTTATTATTTGGAGGTATATTCTTTATATACTCAGTTTTTTTAGGGATTTTATCAAGAAGAATGTTGAATTTTATCACGTTTTTCAGCATCAATTGAAAGAATCATATGGTTTTGTCCTTCATTCTGTTGCTATGATGTGTCACATTCATTGATTTGCATATGTTGAGACATCCTTGCATCTTTGGGATAAATTCTATTTGGCCACGGTTAATAATCTCTTTAATGTGTTGTTGAATTCAGTTTGTTAGTATTTTGTTGAGGATATTTACATCAATATTCATCAGAGATATTGGCCTTCAGGTTTCTTTTTTGACGTGACTTTGTCTGGTTTTTGTATTGGGTAGCATTGGCCTCAAAGAATTAGTTTGGAAGTATTTTCTTCTCTATTTTTCAGAATAGTTTGAATAGGATTTATATTATTTATTCTTTAAATGTTTGGCAGAATTCAGCAGTGGAGCCATCTGGTCCCAGGCTTTTCTTTACTAGGAGACTTTCTATTACAGCTTCAATCTTGTTATTGGTCTGTTTAGGTTTTGAATTTTCTTCGTGGTTCACTCTTGGTTTGTTTTATGCATAGAAATTTATTCCATTCCTCTGGATTTTGCAAATTATTGGTATATAGTTGCTCATAGTAGCCACTAATGATCTTTTGTATTTCTGCAGTGTTAGTTATCAGTTGTAATATTGCTTTTTTCATCTCTGATTTTATTTATTGGGGTCCTCTCTCTTTTTTTTTCTTCCAGATTCTGGGTAAGAGTTTGTCACTTTTATCTTTTCTGAGAACCCGCTTGTGGTTTTGTAGATGTTTTGTATTGTTTTCTTGATTTCAAATTCATCTATTTCTCTCTGATCTTTATTTCTTTTCTTCTACTAATTTTGGGTTCACTTTGCTATTGCTTTTCTAGTTCTTTAACATTCATGGTTAAGTTATTTATTTGAAGTTTTTTTATTTTTTGATGTAGGCATTTATGAGTATAAATTTCCCACTTAGTATTTTCACTGTATCTTATATGCTTTGGTATTGTTGTGTTTCCATTATTATTTGTTTCAAGACATTTTTCCATTTTCTTAATTTCTTCATTGAATCACTGGCCATTCAAGAGCATATTGCTTAATTTTTATGTGTTCATGTAGTTTCCAAAATTCCTCTTGTTACTGATTTCTAGTTTTATTCCTTTGTGGTCAGATGCTTGATATTATTTCATTTAAAAAAATGTTTCACAATTTATTTTGTGACCTAGCATATGGCCAGCTTTAAGAATGATCCATGTGTTGAGGATAAGAATGTGTATTCTGCAGCTGTTGCATGAAATGTTCTATAAATATCTATTAGGTCCATTTGTTATATAGTATGGATTAAGTCCAATGTTTCTTTGTTATCTTTTCTTCTGGGACATCTTTCCAATGCTGAAAATAGGGTGTTTAAGTCTTCAGCTATTATCGTATTGAGGTCTATCTTTCTCTCTTTAATTCTAATATATATTTTTTTTTTTTTTTGGTGATTCTGAGTGCTCCAGTGTTGAGTGCTTAAATAATTACAATCATTATACTCTCTTGCTGAATTGACCCCTTAATCATTATATAATGAAATTTGTCTCTTAAAAGTTTGTTTTCATGACATCTATTCTGCCTGATATAAGCATAGCTAGTGTTGTTCTTTATTAGTTTGCATTGGCATAAAATATCTTTTTCCATCCCTTTATTTTCAGTTTATGTGTATCGTTTTAGGTGAAATGTGTATCTTGTAGGCAACAGATCATTGGGTCTTGTTTTTTCATCTATTCAGCAGCTCTATGTCCCTTTAATAAAGAGCAATAATTTTAGTCCTTGTGGCCTATATGGCAAGTTTATTCAGACCCCAGTTTCATGTTTACTTTGATCCCAAAGAACTTTAGTTTGTGGTGGTGAGGTTTGCAGGAACTCAGGTTGTGACCAACGAGATGTGTGATTCCTCTCTGTCTAGAACGGGTCTAAATACTCCCTCTGTGGACAACAGCTGGATTCTCCCCAGTGTTGCTTTCCGCTGTGGCAGCACTGAGTTCCACTCCAAAGTCCCACAATCAGTGGACTCTCCGTCCCCAAGTGCACAGATTCTCTCTTCATGTCATGTGCCACTGCCAAGGCCTTAGATTCTCTCTTCATGTCATGTGCCACTGCCAGGGCATGAGGGACAGGTGACACTGGCAATTCAAGACTGTTTTTCCTACCCTCTTCTGTGCCTATTTCAGTGATATGAAGTTAAAACCAGGTACTGTGACCACTCTCCTTATTTTTGGTTCTTATGAAGGTGCTTATTTTGTGTGGATAGTTATTCAATTTGATGTTACAAAGGACAAGTGATGGAGGCTTCTATTTGGGAACCTTGTTCCACCTCTCCATGGTACATCTCATTCTCAAGTTGTTTGAGAAAAATTTATAATTTCCCAAAAGATGAAATTAATAATGATCCCAATTCATAGGTTTTTTCATTTTTACCCCATTCCCCCAAAATAGAAACAATTATTCCTATTAGGTTATTTTTATATGATATATGAGGACACCAGAAGAAAAATATTAAGCAGTCAGAAAGAAAAACTATGATTGACATTTTAGTTATATGGTAAAGTAGGCCAAAGGTATTTTTATGGGTATGGGTATGTATGCATAGGGGCACATATTGTTACCTGTGTGATTTGTCTCAATTGTCAAATACAAAGAACCTACAAAAAGTCAAGGGACAAAGCATATGATTATATCTAAACAAAGTAAAAACCATAGGCTTATTTCGGTGACAATGACATTTTCTATACAATACAAATGAAATCTGTCATTGATACACTTCAATCAAACATAATTTTAAAATAAACTGAGCAGTGTCCTAAACTGACCCATGGCTTAGTAATAAGAATCACTTCTTTCAGCATCAGTAAGACTTACCTCATTAACGGGCAAATGGAGAGTCTATGTTACTTTCTGGAAGCATAGTAATACAATGTAAGCATCTAATGATTTGAGTACTGTATTAGTTCATTTTCATGCTGCTGATAAAGACATACCTGAGATTGGGCAATTTAAAAGAGGAAGAGGTTTAATGGACTTACAGTTCCACATGTCTAGGGAGCCCTTGCAATCATGGCAGAAGGTGAAAGGCACTTCTTACATGACAGCAGCAAGAGAGAGAATGAGAGCTAAGTGAAGTAGGTTTCTCCTTATCAAAGCATCAGATATCGTGAGACTTATTCACTACCATGAGAACAGTATGGGAGAAACTGTCCCCATGATTCAGTTATCTCCCACTGGGTCCCTCCCACAACAGAAGGGAATTATGGGAGTACAATTCAGGATGAGATTTGGGTGAGGACACAGAACCAAACCATATCAAGTACACAGTACAGAAAAGAATTACTTATTTTAAATTAAAGTTTGTTCCTGACAACAATTTGGAATGTGAATTTCCTTTTGAAAATAGGTTAACTTGGTTGCTCCAGAATTATCCATAATTTGCTACACAACGTATTATAAGACAATGCTAAGGCTGACATACAGTATATTTCTTGTTTGTATTGAATGTAAGGTTCACAATACTTCCTAAATGTATCTCAGCACCTCATATCACATAATGTCTTTGTAAATATTTAATTTCTAGCTAAAAAATTTACAACTTTCTTTACTTTTTATTTCCTGTGGTCAACTGCTATAGAACTCACTGCAGTAGCTGCCATAACCCATGTTTCTTTGGAGAGAATGTAATAGCTCAAAAAATATTAAAACACAGCTGTTTTTAATGTCTTTGGAAGTTTTTATTTAGATCTGTTAATTTGATGTCTTATAAATAGCTTCTGTTTTTCTATAAACTGGGCCACCATCTTTAGGAAGACAACAAATTTGCCCAGAATTATAAGTCAACCATATAAAGTATTTATATTTTTATTTCTTTTCAGAATAAATATACTAGTTTTATGAGTCATTGAGTACTTCAGCAAAAGATTCTAAAAATTTTTCACTTATCAGTTATAAACTCAATACAATATATTCTACTTCATTTCAAATTTTTAAACACATGTATTAAAAAATTTTAGCTAAAAGAAAGAAATTTTTATTGCAGAATGACTAAATACTAGTTCTAGTGATAGTACTCCTAAAACATACTGCTTATGAGCTACTCTTTTTGGGAATAGGAAAATAAAATGAGTCTTAATGTCATGTTTAATTCATATTAATTTTTAAAATTTTGTAAAATATTCATTTAGTCCCTTAATTTTATAAAAGGCCATAATATAAACAATTGGCATGTTTAGGGATTGTGTTAGAAATTGCAAACAATATACAAATGGTATTTGCTTTAAAAATAATTGCATTAAAAATTAAAATAAATAAAACAATATTAAGCAATGGCATAATTTGATTATTGTTCACATGCCTATTGCATTCATATTGTCCTAGTGCTAGATAAACAAGTGTAAATGATTCTTGTCTTGGAAAAAGTCCCAGTAAAGAGAAGAAAAGTAGAGGTGAAAACACCGTCATAGTAAATGTGAAGTCACTATAAATATAAGTAAAAACATAGCTGTGTAAGTGAGGGAAGTTATGGAGATACTAAAGAGCATACAATTTTAAGCTTAAAAGACCAATTCTCATAGAAGAAAGAGAAAATATTTAAAAGGTCAACATAAAAAGCAAATGACTAAGATACTTTCATAAAAGAATTTTATTAAAATTGCAGAAAAATATGTCACTTAAAGTGTTTCAGAACATATAGTAAGAAAAACTTAAAATTATGTTTTGAAGCAAGTATAACATTTATATGTAGACATGACATAGACTAAAATGTAACAAAAAAAGAGCAGTCTCTTTAAAATTTCAATTTAAGTATCTACATATAATATATGCAAAATAATAACACTCCAAAACACATTAAGAAATATGCAATTTAACCAAATAGAATTTATCATAGGAATTCAAGGATGGCTTAATATTAAGGAATCCATTAATGTAATCAGCCACATCACTAGATCTAAAGAGGAAGAAAACCATAAACTTATTTCTATGTATTCTGAAATAGTATTTAACAAAATATAATACTCATTTCTGTTAAAAAATGAATAAAAAATAAAATAAGAAAATAGATATTTAAAAATAAATTTATGAATGATATGATTTTATTAGGTATATATTATATATTTTATACACTATAACAAATTACATGTTATATGTTACATATAACAACCACCAAAGTCATCATTCTACTAATAAAAAATAAACTTTTAGGCATTTATTTTTAACTAAGTACAGCAAATCGGGAAACCTGAATTGTATTGCATACAGTAGGCAATACATAAGAACAAAATTGGACGCAGAGAGGTAAAACTGTTTCCAGTTGCAGGTAGCATAATAACATAATTTGAAAACCAAAGAGTATTTAAAATAAAATAAAAATTCAATAAAATAAGTAAGCAAGATATAATATAAACATAAAACATAGTCTTATATCAACAGATCATAACTAAAGAAATCTTTATAATAATTATAAACATGTATTTAGAAATACACTTAGGTTTAGGAATTAATTTAATAAAAATATTCAATACATATATAATAAATCAATTTAAATACTTGTAAAATGAACAATAAAAATACATTTCTGGTTCTTAGATAGTATGAATGATCATCATACATATTCTAATTCTTCCAAATTAATTATATAAATTTAAGACAATCCCAGTGAAATACTCTATGCATTTTTTCTTGGGCTAGAGAAACTGAATTTATATTGTGTAAAAATAAATGCCATGAAAAAAACAATGAATAAGGACTTCCTTTTCTAGATATTAAAACATGTTGTAAAAATATCATGCTTAAACTACATGAAACAGAATAGAATGTTCAGAAATAGAACTTTGTATGTATAGAAATTTACTATATGCCAAAAGTGTCAGGTATCTTAAATCACTGGGGAAATAAATAATGAACTATTTAACAAATTATGTTTGTACAATTAGATAGTGACTTGGAAAATAAAAACATAAAATTATAATCATGCTAAATTTCAAATGGATTAGACTGGTAAAAAGGAAACACATGCAAGTAATATAAGTATTAATAAACTTATTTATAACTAAGGCACACCACCTTAAGTTGCATAAACCTGGTGATAAAGAGAAAGTATTAAAAGGACTAAAAATTAATGACACCTTACCTACAGAGGAATAAAATTAAAGACAACAGCAGATTTCTCATTGGAAATATTTCAAGCTAGAAGAAAATGGACCAATGTCTCTACATTATTGAAAAAAAGTTCACTGGACAAAGGTTTGGTGAAAATATATTTCAAAAACAGAAGACTAAACAAATCTTTTTTGGATGTATAGAAGCTGAAAGAATTCATTACCAGCAAATCTGCACTACAGTAAATATTAAAAGAAATCCAAGCGGAGGCAATACTGGATTTACACAAAGAAATGAAGAGCATGGAAAATGATAATTACATAGGTAAATACAAACAGGCATACCTCATTTAATTTTACTTCACTTTATTGTGCTTCATAGATAATGCATTTTTTACAAATTGAAGGTTTGTTGCAACCCTGCATCGAGCAAGTCTATTGTCATTTTTTCAACAGCATGTGCTTCTTTTGGGTCTTTGTGCCACATTTTGGTAATTCTTGAAGTATTTCAAACTCTTTCATCATTATTATATCATTATGGTGGTCTCTGATCAGTGTTATTTAATGTTACTATGGTAATTGTTTTGGGGTACCATGAATTTCCCTCATATAAGACAGCAAACTTAATTGATGAGTGTGTGTAACTGCTCCATGGACTGCTTGTTCATTCCAACATCTCTCCTTTTCTCCTCAAGTCTTCTAAAAGAAAACAACAACATTGAAATTAGGTCAGTTAATAACCCCATAGTAGCCTCTATGTATTCAAGTGAAAGGAAAAGTCACACATCTCTCACTTTAAATCAAAAGCTAGAAAGAATTAACTCACATATCTCTCACTTTAAATCAAAAGCTAGAAAGAATTAATAGGGAGGAAGCCATGTCAAAAGACAACATAGGCTTAAATCTAGGCCTCTGCACCAAACAACCAAATTGTGGATGCAAAGGAAAAGTTATTGAAGGAAATTAAAATTGCTACTCTGGTGAACACATGAATGATAAGAATGTGAAACGGCGGGGCGCGGTGGCTCACGCCTGTAACCCCAGCACTTTGGGAGGCCGAGGCGGGTGGATCACGAGGTCAGGAGATCGAGACCATCCTGGCTAACACGGTGAAACCCCGTCTCTACTAAAAATACAAAAAATTAGCTGGGTGTGGTGGCGGGCACCTGTAGTCCCAGCTACTCGGAGAGGCTGAGGCAGGAGAATGGCGTGAACCCAGGAGGTGGAGCTTGCAGTGAGCCGAGATCACGCCACTGCACTCCAGCCTGGGCAACAGAGCAAGACTCCATCTCAAAAAAAAAAAAAAAAATGTGAAACAGCCTTATTGCTGATATGGAGAAAGTTTTAGTGGTCTAGATGAAAGATCAAACAAGCCACAACATTGCCTTAAGCCTCAAGAGTAAGGCCCCAATTCTCATCAATTCTGTGAAGGGTGACAGAGGTGACGAAACTGCAGAAGAAAAGTTTGAAGCTAGGAGAGATTGGTTCATGATGTTTAAGTAAAGAAGCCATCTTTATAACATAAAAGTACAAGATGAAACAGTATGTGCTAATATAAAAGCTGTAGAAAGTTTTCTAGAAGATCTAGCTAAGATCATTGATGAATGTGGTTACATGAAATAACAGATTTTAAATGCCGACAGTCTATATTGGAAGAAAATGCCATCTAGAACTTTTGTAACAACTAAGAAGGAGAAGTCAATGGCTAGCTTCAAAATTTTGAAGGACAGGCTGGGGTTAATGTAGCTGGTGAGCTAACGTAGCTAGTGATTTTAAGTGAAAGCCAATACTTATTTACCATTCCAAAAAGCATAGAGCCCTGAAAATTATGCAAAATCTGTTCTGCCTTTGCTCTATAAGTGCAACAACAAAACCTTGATGACAGGACATCTGTTCACAGTATGGATTTATTGAATATTTTAAACCCTCTGTTGAGACCCACTGCTAAGGAAAAAAAGATTCCTTTCAAAATATTACTGCTCATTGACAATGCAGGTTACCTACAAGCTCTGATGGAGATGTACGAGGAGATTAATGTCGTTTTCATTCTGCTATCACAACATCCAATCTGCAGCCCATGGATCAAGGAGTCATTTTGACTTTAAGTCTTATTATTTAAGAAATACATTTTATAATGTATTGTAAGGCTTACATAGCTCCCATAGATAGTGGTTTCTTTGATGGATCTGAGCAAAGTAAATGGAACACCCTCTGAAAAGGGATTAATCATTCTAAATGCCATTGGCAACATTCATGATTTGGGAAGAGGTGAGAATATGAACATTAATAGGAGTTTAGAAGGAGTTGATTTCAACCCTCATAAATTATTTTGACAGGCTTCAAGACTTCCATGAGGGAATTAACTACAAATGTGGTGGAAATAGTAAGAGAACTATAATTTGAGGTGGCCTGAAGATGTGTCTGAATTGCTTTAATCTCATGATAAAATTTTAACAGGTGAGGAGTTGCCTCTTATGAATGAGCAAAGAAAGTGGTGTATTGTGATGGAATCTGCTCCTGATGAAGATGCTGTGAACATTGTTGAAATGACAACCAAGTATTTAGAATATTACATAAACTTAGCTGATAAAACAACAGCAGAGTTTTAGAGGATTGACTCTAAATTTGAAAGAAGTTCTACTGTGGGGAAAATACCATCAAAAAGTGTTGCATGCTACAGAGAAACTTTTCATGAAAGAAAGAGTCAATCACCGTGGGAAACATCATGTTTTCTTATTTTAAGAAATTGGCACATCTGCATAAACTTTCAGCAATCACCATCCTGATGAGTTAGCAGCCATCAACATCAAGGCAAGACCCTCCACTAGCAAAAAGATTATGACTAGCTGAAAGCTCAGACTATGGTTAGTGATTTTTAGCCATAAAGTATTTTCAAAATAAGATGTGCATATTGTTTATTAAGTCATAATGATATTGCACACTTAATAGACTCAGTATAGTGTAAACATAACTTTTATATGCCCTGGAAACAAGAAAACATATGTGACTCACTTTATTGAGATATTTACTTTATTGCAGTGGTCTTAAACAGAACCCAGAATATCTCTCAAGTATGGCTGTATAAAAATATGTTTTTATTTAAATATATTTAGAAGATAATTGACTAAAGTAAAATTAGTAATAATATACTGTGTGATTTATTACATAAATAGAAGTAAAATGCACAGTAACAATAGCACAAAGGCCAGGAAGGTGAAATGGAGTATACTGTTGTAAGTTTCTTGTGCTACAAGTGAGGTGGTATCATATGATTTGAAGGAAGACTGAGATAATTTTAAGATGTATATTGTGTATATTAAAGAAGGTACTAAGATAAAGAGTTATAGCAAATAAGTTAGTAAAGAAGATAAAAGGAATTACAAAAATTCTCAATTAATTCCTAATAAGGAAAAAAAGAATTAAAGGGAATAATGAATATTTGGGAAACAGAAAACTAAGAGGAAGATGGTAGACTGTAACCCATCATATTAAAAAGTACATTAAATGTAAATGGACTGAACATCCCAATTAAAGGTGATATATCATAACGTATTAATAAGAACACAGTGTATGGAACATTGACAAATCCAACTTTAAATATAAAGACACGCATAAATTAAAAGTGAAATAATTGGAAAAGACATAACACGCTAATACTAATCAAAATAAACCTACCATGATTATATTAATATTAGACAGAGTAGATTCAGAACAAGATATATTACCAGTAATAAAAAGTGCTATTTCATAATGTTAAAAGCATCAATTAATCAAGAGGACATCATAATAAAATCATCATAATAAAACAGCTCCAAAATATATGAAGCAAACATGGCTATAAATGCAAGAAGGAATAGAGAAATACACAATAATAGTCAGGAATCTTAATACCTCTCCTAATAATCTATAGAACAAATATATAGTAATATTTCATTGTACATATATACCTTTCATCCATCAATAGATACGTGGGCTGCTTCCACCTTTTGGCTTTTGTGAATATTGTTGCTATGAACATTGGTTTACAAATACCTGTTTAAGTTCCCACTTTCATTTCTTTTCAGTATTTCTCAGAATTGTAATTACTGGATTATATGGTAAATCTATATTTAATTTTTTCAGAAACCACCATACTGTTTTTCATAGTGGCTGCACCATTTTACATTACCACCAGCAGTGTACTAAGGTTTCAACTTCTCCATATCCTTACTAACACTTTCCTTTCTCCTTCCTTCCTTCCTTTTCCTTCCTTCTTCCCTCCTTCCTTCCTTCTTCCCTCCTTCCTTCCTTCTTCCCTCCTTCCTTTCTTCTTTCCTTCTTCCCTCCGTCCTTCCTTCTTTCCTTCTTCCCTCCTTCCTTCCTTCTTTCCTTCTTCCCTCCTTCCTTCCTTCTTTCCTTCTTCCCTCCTTCCTTCTTTCCTTCTTCCCTCCTTCCTTCCTTCTTTCCTTCCTTTCTTCTTTCTCTTTCTCCCAAAGAATAACCATCCTAATGGGTGTCAAGTGGTATCTCACTGTGGTTTTGATCTCCATTCCCCTAATGACCAAGTGATATGGACCATCTTTTCATGTGCTTATTGACCAATAGAACATCTTCTTTGGAGAGATGTGCAGTTGAGTTCTCTGCCCATTAAAAAAATAAATGGTTTATATTTTTGACTGTTGAGTAATAGGAGTTCTTTCTTCATTCTGAATTTTAATTCCTTATCAGATAGATGATTTGCAAATATTTCTCCCATTCCCTGGGTTGCCCTTTTACTCTGTTGATAGAATGCATTGCTGCACAAACATTTTAATATTGATGTAATCTTACATACATATTTTTTCTTTTGTTGCCTGTGCTTTAGTATCATATTTAAAAAATCATTACCAACTTCATTTTACAAAGATTGTCCCCTGTTTTCTTCTAAATGTTTTACTGTGACATTGGATTTAAATTGTAGGTATTACTATAAATTTGTGAATAATGTGTATGTGTATATGTGTTTCTGTCCACTAAAAGGATGTAATAAAAATTACACCTCAGAGCAGTATATATACTTAATACCAGAACTTAGTTTCCAAATAACCTTCTCTACTTAAGGGGTTACTGACACTAGGCTATATGGCTAGTTATAGATTTGGGCAAAGAAAGTAAAATGGTGAGCCCAGGTCATCTTGTATCAGAAAGCAAGGGTTTCTGAAAGACTAATGGACTCATAGAAAAAGACAAAAAATTCTACCTAAAGAGGTTGCTGCTGGCCAAATTTGTGATGTTTGAGCATCTAAAAAACATTAATGGTAATGCATTATAAAACAGTACATTAAAAAAATCTATGAGTCTATATAAATGGAGGGAATGCAAACAAAATAAAACCCAGAAATGTCTTATTTAAAAAACATGCTAGCTAATACATGTAAAAGGAAAGATAGAATTTGAAATTCATTGTTTTGTAATTTCCGATGTAATAATTATTTCATGAAGGATTCATTGATATTTATTAACATCTTCTTATGGGAAACAAAACAGTCATAGGAAATATCAACTCTTAATTACAAATGTGAAGTTAACTTGACAATGGAGATAGTCCATTGTTACCACCTTAACAAAGTGATCAAACCTAACATCACCACTCATAATACCAGTAGAAGTTTCTCACTTCCAGATGTGATATAATAAGTACAGACCATCTCCTGAATAGTATACCCTCAAAAAATTTTAGAATGAGGGTAAATTAATTCAAATTAAATGAGGGAATAATTAATTCAAAATTAATGCAGAATGTGGGACACTCTGAAAGGCAACTGACCTAAATACTTCCCAAATTCGATATCAAGAAAAAATGGGGGGAAATGAAGGTAGTTCAGAATTTTTTAAAAAATACATAACAACTAAATGCAGTGAATGATGCTTCATTGGATCTTGGATTTAAGGGAAAAGATATCTATAAAAGACATTTTTTAGGGAATAACTAGAAAATTTTAAACATGAATTTTACAGTAGATAAGAATATTGAATGTTAATTTTCTTAGGTATGATAATAATGATGTATTATATAGAAGCCTTTATTGTTAGGAGTTGAATGGTGAAATATTTAGAAAACAGTCATAATTTGTGAAACTTTTAGATGGTTTAGCAAAAAATAAAGCTAAGTAAGGCAAATGTCATAATTAAAAATTGTTCATTGTGCTATACGTTCAAGTTTTTGGAGGTTTTAAAACTGATCCAGAGTTGCAGGAAAGGAAAAAATACAGATTAATATCAGCCAAGTTACTTTCTTGTGAGAGCCTGGGATAGTTACTTTACCTCTCTTTGTCTCTGTGACATCTCTGAAATGGGGATAATAATGAAACCTACCTCTACAGGATTTTGACAGTGGTATAAAAGACATAATACATGAAAAACATATAGAACATTGCTTAACACCTAGTAGGACCTAAGTTAGTGTCATTTATATTACTAGATTTACTAATAATATCATTGCCATATTGAGATTTTATTGATTAAGGATTTATATGTGGAGAGTCTTGAAAGTTAGTATTCTGAAGTCAGTTGTTGATGCTATAAATATGGAATGACCACCAATCTCATCTAAAGAAAGAAAATAGAACAGAACCAAACTGATTTTACTTATAAGTCTATAAATAAATCGCAGCATCTCATATAAGGTTGTCAATGAAACATCAAATCATTTTTCAACTAGCCAGCTAAGTACTCCTTACAATCTTAAAATGAAATTTAATGATACAAGTGGTGAAACCATCACCATTGCCTTCTCGGAATCTGCCAAGGACAGAAGGCTTTGTCAGCAACTTAAGAAGCTACTTGCAAAAATGACCCCACTAGAGGCCTTGGAGCCAAAGGGTAATTAAAGTTGGGCTGTGAGCCACATGTGAAAAGTCTGTTTTATTCCTTTAATTAACGACAGCATTACTCCCCCATCCTGCTGCGGTGTGGGACCCGGGCAGAATTAGCACTACTATAAACCACATTAAGGCAAGTCTCCATCAGCAGCATGGCTAACACATAGTTAGTTTAACTTTATGAGGCAATAAATACAGACTATAACATTATTGAGTATCAACAGTGACATTTTCACTGTATAGCAAGGAAGCAGTTTACAAAACAAGTATTTACAACACGCTTCTAATAACTTCAGTCCGAAAGACGTTGATAACCGAGAGAGCTTCATGTCATATACTACCCATTTTCTAGTGCGTGAATTCTGGGCAATTTAAATTTATGTTGCATAAAATGTGTCCATGCAAAATCAGCTTTTTCATTATTGAAGGGTAAGAGAAGGATTCTGGGGTATCTCTGAACATTTATTTTTAGTGCTCTCATTTAATTCAAAGCCATTCATTTTAGCACAGAGAACACTTCAACATTTTCTCAATGTATATCTTTGAGTATTATATTTATCAGAAGACTTTTGTTGTTTTTGATTGCTGTTTGGTTGGTTGCTTTTTGTTCCTCTTTAGCATATTTTACTCAAACAATTCATGCAAATCTGGAGCATTATGTCTCTCTTTATCAATCTAGTTTGCTCAAATTTGGGTGTTATTTTTGAATTTCAAGTTAACTGACATTTAAGACTTAATGATTTTTTTTTGTAAACAAAAAACTTAGAGTGGTAATCTGGAAAAGAAAAATACCATGTACAATTAATTCTGTATAGTCAATTCATACTTGTTTAGGAAATATAAATTTCTTTTTTGTTTGTTTGTTTTGAGATGGAATCTTGCTCTGTCTTCCATGCTGGAGTTCAGTGGCACAATCTCAGCTCACTGCAACCTCCGCCTCCCAGTTTCAAGCGATTCTCCTGCCTAAGCCTCCCGAGTAGCTAGGATTACAGGCACACACCATCACACTTGGCTAATTTTTGTATTTTTAGTAGAGACGAGGTTTTGCCATGTTGGCCAGGCTGGTCTCAAACTCCTGACCTCAGGTGATCCACCTGCCTCGGCCTCCCAAAATCCTGGGATTACAGGAGTGAGCTACCGTGCCCTGCCAGGAAATATAAATTTCTTCCCATAAGACTGATATATTAGGGAACATTTTAAGCATTACTCAATTTTCATGTGCCTATATGCCATTTCATCTGGAAGAAACAATAAATGAATACAGAAACCTTCACTCAGCAGAACCAAGCTGCATAGGAATACACAAAATTCACACATGCACATATATGAGACATCTACCAGTTACCTCAATTCACCATCCAGAAAGGTGTGTATGTGTGTATGTGTGCATGTGTGTTGTTGAAGATAGAAAAGAATAAAGCATGTATAAATGTTTATTTGAAAGACCCAGTAAAATTTAGAGAGAAGTTGAAAAAAGAAATATCAAAGAGAAGAAGAGTAAAGATTCAGAAAGATAACAGGATGTGGGCTCAAGATTACACAAGACAAATTAACCTTCCACAGGAGAAAGGCATTCCATTAATTGTAACAGGAAAGGAGGATCCAGGATGACCTGTAAGCTTGGCGGTGCGAAATGTGGTGGTGTAGCTTGTTTTACATCTCCCATTGTCTTTGTGGAATAGAAGTCAAGGTAGTCTATAGAGAATCAGGGATGAAGGGAGGAGTCAGAAGTTTAAAGAGGGTAGAACAGGTCTAAACATTGAGAATGATGATTAGAGAGAAAATGTAGTGAGCTTGATGTGCAGGGCCCAGCTGAGACTGGTGAATTCATGGTGGTACCAGTATTCTGAGCCTAAAGTCTTTCTAAATAATATATACATTTAAAAATCTCATGTCATTAAATATTATCTTCTAACATTTTGTTTAAGGGCTACATATAACTTATTTCACTTAAAGTTTATTGTTGGCAATTTAAATTGTCCTGCAGATTTCCCTGTTATAGCTAGATAAATATCAGCTATCTCTACCTTTAAACTAATCTGCAATAATCTTCTTAGGATATATTCCTAGAACTGGAAGTGCTGGATCAAACATAATGGTAAAATTTGCATTTTTAACAAATACAACAAATATTCAATATACTTTTAAAAATAAAAATATATGCATATTTTGAAAAATATTTTTAAAATAATCTTTTAGGGTTTATAATAAAAAGTAATTTCTTGCCCCCAACACTCCCTATCTGAATTCAACCTTAAAAAAAACTTCTTCCATTCTTTTATATTTTTTTCCTAGTCTGTTCCTCCTCATTTCTATCTTATTTTATGCTGCTCTGTATTGACATTTCACTTTTAGACATTACTTTTCACTTCTTAACATAGAACCTAAGAATCTGGTTCTCTTACACATCACCAATCCACACACAGGCTCATCATTTACAAATATAAACTTCTTAAATCAGTATTTGAGTTTAAATTATGATTACTAATATTTGGCATGTGGCCTCATTCTCCTGTCTTTTTATCTTTGGCAGATTTTAGGATATTATTCTCATCTAAATTTTGTGGGGTTTTTCTTGTTACAATTTTATATTCTTTGTCTGGATTTTGAATCTTTTTTACATTTATTAGGCTAAGCAGTAATAATTTTTATAATATGGACTTTACATCCTTAATTCCTAGAAATTTTTTTTGTACTGAATGTTTGTGAACAATTTTCTTAATTTCCTGTGTCTTTTCATTGTGGAAATCATATATATACACACACACACACAAAATCACACACACATTTTCCATTTCTACCTTTTGCTTTACATGATTTTTTCCCACTATGTTTCTCAAATCTATGAATACTATTTTTTTATTTGAGCTTCTTAAATTTTACTACTCTAAATGCATTTTCTCTTACCTTTTATTTTTCTTATATTTTCAAATTTCCTTTTTCTTTTGCTATTGTTGTCTGTTGTCATTTTGTTTTTTTGTTATTATCTTTAAAATTACAGATTTCCCTCAAATACCTAGTAATCCTTAGCTGTTTCATATTTGAGACCCAGGCACTAGAGACGTGACTGAGATGCGTTGACTGAAGGTGTCTTGACATGGAGTCTCTCTTGTTCAATTGGATGATGGAAGGCTGATATGCAATTATTAAGTAATGTCTATTTAATTATATCATTTTGTTCTATGTTTTTTGTTTATAATCCAAATTTTGTTCCTCTGTTCCTATTTTTATTTCATTTTTGATCTTTTTATTATTTAATTTCTCTTTCAGCTTTTAAACTATACCTCTTTGTGTTATTTTTAGTGACTGTTCGAGGGATTACAGTATATTTTCTTAACTTTTCATAATTCTAATTAGACTTAATTTTGTACTACTTCATGTAAAATTTGAGAATATTGTGGATAGTTTCATATGGCCTTTAAGTATATTTCAATCTAAGGTATTACATCCGTAAACCTCAGAGTATATAGTTGTACATTTTTTTAAATTGATGTGTTTTAAAGAAATTAAGGAAATAATATTTTACACTCACACATTTACCATTTCCGATGCTCTCCTTTCCTTCCTGAGACTGAGTTTTCATTTGGTCTTACTAGTTTTCAATCTGAATAATTTCCTTTAGCATCTTTTTGTGATGCAGCTGTGCTGGCAACAACTTCTATTAGACTTTTTTATTTGAAAATATCTTTCTTAATTTTTGAAGGGTAACTTCATTGAATGCAGAATTCAATATTGACAGTTTTCTTTTTTCTTTTTTCCCTTCCTTCCTTCCTTCCTTCCTTCTTTCCCTCCCACCCTCCTTCCTTCCTTCCCTTTCTTCTTTCCCTCCCTCCTTCCTTCCTTTCTTCCTTCCGTCCATCATTATGTTCTTGTACATACTTTTAATAGCATCTTTATAAATCTCTCTCTAATAATAGAAACATCTCATCATTCATCTACATTCTTTTTTTCTTGATTGAATTTTCATTTCCTGTTTTTAAAAAATCTGTCTAATTTATTTTGCTTGTATACTAGACATTGTAAATTGTATATGTAGTGATTCTATTCTGTTTCTGTAAATATTTTCATGGTTTATTTTATTTCATTTGATTGGCAGTTAATTTAGTTGAACTCAAACTCTAAATTATTTATCTGCTTTATTAGGCACCAGCTGAAGCTTGTTTTAGCTCTTTTAGCTTTAGTGGGATGCTTTGAGTTCATTCAATTTATACATAATTCAGTAATTTTCTATTTATTTGTTCAGAGCATATAAGCAGAATATTGGATTCTCTGTGACTCTCTCCTCCCTTTGTGGATTTACCAATTCCTAGCTTCGGTGTTTTCCTCAAATTCTGTCTTGTGATATTTCAGCCAAAAAGTTGTCAATGTTCTCTGAATTTTAGCTCTTCATATAAGGCACTGATTGGGAAGTATCTTCTTCCAAACAGCCATAAAACTAGAAAACTCATCCAGTACTGCTTATTTCATCTAATTATCAAGTTCCCTGCAGTTTGTTTCTGGTTTTATTCACTTTCACTATTTCAGATAATTGATTTAAAAAAAATTGGTCCAGAGTTTATAATTATTATCTACAGGAGCATTGATATGACATAAACTACTTCACCTTTTCCAAGAGTAGAACTTTCCCATTTCAATATATGGCACCATAATCTATCCAGTCATTCAAACTCCAAACCTAAAATTTATGTTTTAGTTCTTTCTTTAGGTTATGACCACTATCTCATATCATCTATTGGAAAGTTATATTATTTCCATCTCCAAAATATGTGTTTTATTTGATCACATTATTTTTCCCATTTTCTCCCTAGTTCAAACTATCATCATCTCTTGCTTTGACTGACACAATAGCTCCTTAATTATTCTTATTGCTTTCATTTCTTCCCTAGTACAGTTTGGTCATCTCTATCAGCCAGAATGATCTTTCAAAATCAGAAATTATATTACCTTTCTCCTTAACTAAAAAAGAATTTTCCACTGTTATTCAAATAAAATCCAGTCTCTACACCATAGCTTCCAAGTCTTTGTAGAATCAGCTTCTGTTCAAGTCCTTGCTCTAAATTCCTAACTCTCTTCTCATTCATCTTTATACTTTTTGGACATATTTTTTTCCTTACGTATAGCTAGTTTATGCTCACCCCAAAACTTTGCCTTTTGCCTTTAATCTCAGAAGATTTTACCTAAGCACCTTGGTAGTGTCCCCAACCCAGTTTTCTCTACTCTATTTTCCTGTTTTATTGTCTTCAAAATAGAAACAATTTTCTGGCTCTTTTTTTACTTGTTTATTTTTGTATATATGCATATATTTACATACTATTGTTATTATTATCTGTATTTTTTTCAACCAGATCACCAACATATATTTTCAACCATGTGACCAAACACAGCCTTGACACATGACGGGTTTTGTTCTTTTTTTTTTTTTTTTTTTTACCTTGTTTCTGATCTTTTTTTTTTTTTTTTTCTGTTGGTACAGAATTTCTTTTTTTTTTTTTTTATTATACTTTAAGTTTTAGGGTACATGTGCACATTGTGCAGGTTAGTTACATATGTATACATGTGACATGCTGGTGTGCTGCACCCACTAACTCATCATCTAGCATTAGGTATATCTCCCAATGCTATCCCTCCCCCCTCCCCCGACCCCACCACAGTCCCCAGAGTGTGATATTCCCCTTCCTGTGTCCATGTGTTCTCATAGTTCAATTCCCACCTATGAGTGAGAATATGAGGTGTTTGGTTTTTTGTTCTTGCGATAGTTTACTGAGAATGATGATTTCCAATTTCATCCATGTCCCTACAAAGGACATGAACTCAACATTTTTTATGGCTGCATAGGATTCCATGGTGTATATGTGCCACATTTTCTTAATCCAGTCTATCATTGTTGGACATTTGGGTTGGTTCCAAGTCTTTGCTATTGTGAATAATGCCGCAATAAACATACGTGTGCATGTGTCTTTATAGTAGCATGATTTATAGTCCTTTGGGTATATACCCAGTAATGGGATGGCTGGGTCAAATGGTATTTCTAGTTCTAGATCCCTGAGGAATCGCCACACTGACTTCCACAATGGTTGAACTAGTTTACAGTCCCACCAACAGTGTAAAAGTGTTCCTATTTCTCCACATCCTCTCCAGCACCTGTTGTTTCCTGACTTTTTAATGATTGCCATTCTAACTGGTGTGAGATGGTATCTCATAGTGGTTTTGATTTGCATTTCTCTGATATGATGAGCATTTTTTCATGTGTTTTTTGGCTGCATAAATGTCTTCTTTTGAGAAGTGTCTGTTCATGTCCTTTGCCCACTTTTTGATGGGGTTGTTTGTTTTTTTCTTGTAAATTTGTTTGAGTTCATTGTAGATTCTGGATATTAGCCCTTTGTCAGATGAGTAGGTTGTGAAAATTTTCTCCCATTTTGTAGGTTGCCTGTTCACTCTGATGGTAGTTCCTTTTGCTGTGCAGAAGCTCTTTAGTTTAATTAGATCCCATTTGTCAATTTTGTCTTTTGTTGCCATTGCTTTTGGTGTTTTGGACATGAAGTCCTTGCCCATGCCTATGTCCTGAATGGTAATGCCTAGGTTTTCTTCTAGGGTTTTTATGGTTTTAGGTCTAATGTTTAAATCTTTAATCTATCTTGAATTGATTTTTGTATAAGGTGTAAGGAAGGGATCCAGTTTCAGCTTCCTACATATGGCTAGCCAGTTTTCCCAGCACCATTTATTAAATAGGGAATCCTTTCCCCATTGCTTGTTTTTCTCAGGTTTGTCAAAGATCAGATAGTTGTAGATATGCGGCGTTATTTCTGAGGGCTCTGTTCTGTTCCATTGATCTATATCTCTGTTTTGGTACCAGTACCATGCTGTTTTGGTTACTATAGCCTTGTAGTATAGTTTGAAGTCAGGTAGTGTGATTCCTCCAGCTTTGTTCTTTTGGCTTAGGATTGACTTGGCAATGCGGGCTCTTTTTTGGTTCCATATGAACTTTAAAGTAGTTTTTTCCAATTCTGTGAAGAAAGTCATTGGTAGCTTGATGGGGATGGCACTGAATCTGTAAATTACCTTGGGCAGTATGGCCATTTTCACGATATTGATTCTTCCTACCCGTGAGCATGGAATGTTCTTCCATTTGTTTATATCCTCTTTTATTTCCTTGAGCAGTGGTTTGTAGTTCTCCTTGAAGAGGTCCTTCACATCCCTTGTAAGTTGGATTCCTAGGTATTTTATTCTCTTTGAAGCAATTGTGAATGGGAGTTCACTCATGATTTGGCTCTCTGTTTGTCTGTTGTTGGTGTATAAGAATGCTTGTGATTTTTGTATATTGATTTTGTATCCTGAGACTTTGCTGAAGTTGCTTATCAGCTTAAGGAGATTTTGGGCTGAGACAATGGGGTTTTCTAGATATACAATCATGTCGTCTGCAAACAGGGACAATTTGACTTCCTCTTTTCCTAATTGAATACCCTTTATTTCCTTCTCCTGCCTAATTGCCCTGGCCAGAACTTCCAACACTATGTTGAATAGGAGTGCTGAGAGAGGGCATCCCTGTCTTGTGCCAGTTTTCAAAGGGAATGCTTCCAGTTTTTGCCCATTCAGTATGATATTAGCTGTGGGTTTGTCATAGATAGCTCTTATTATTTTGAAATACGTCCCATCAATACCTAATTTATTGAGAGTTTTTAGCATGAAGGGTTGTTGAATTTTGTCGAAGGCTTTTTCTGCATCTATCGAGATAATCATGTGGTTTTTGTCTTTGGCTCTGTTTATATGCTGGGTTACATTTATTGATTTGCATATATTGAACCAGCCTTGCATCCCAGGGATGAAGCCCACTTGATCATGGTGGATAAGCTTTTTGATGTGCTGCTGGATTCGGTTTGCCAGTATTTTATTGAAGATTTTTGCATCAATGTTCATCAAGGATACTGGTCTAAAATTCTCTTTTTTGGTTGTGTCTCTGCCCAGCTTTGGTATCAGAATGATGCTGGCCTCATAAAATGAGTTAGGGAGGATTCCCTCTTTTTCTGTTGATTGGAATAGTTTCAGAAGGAATGGTACCAGTTCCTCCTTGTACCTCTGGTAGAATTCGGCTGTGAATCCATCTGGTCCTGGACTCTTTTTGGTTGGTAAACTATTAATTATTGCCACAATTTCAGCTCCTGTTGTTGGTCTATTCAGAGATTCAACTTCTTCCTGGTTTAGTCTTGGGAGAGGGTATGTGTCGAGGAATTTATCCATTTCTTCTAGATTTTCTAGTTTATTTGCGTAGAGGTGTTTGTAGTATTCTCTGATGGTAGTTTGTATTTCTGTGGGATCGGTGGTGATATCCCCTTTATCATTTTTTATTGTGTCTATTTGATTCTTCTCTCTTTTTTTCTTCATTAGTCTTGCTAGCGGTCTATCAATTTTGTTGATCCTTTCAAAAAACCAGCTCCTGGATTCATCGATTTTTTGAAGGGTTTTTTGTGTCTCTATTTCCTTCAGTTCTGCTCTGATTTTAGTTATTTCTTGCCTTCTGCTAGCTTTTGAATGTGTTTGCTCTTGCTTTTCTAGTTCTTTTAATTGTGATGTTAGGGTGTCAATTTTGGATCTTTCCTGCTTTCTCTTGTGGGCATTTAGTGCTATAAATTTCCCTCTACACACTGCTTTGAATGTGTCCCAGAGATTCTGGTATGTTGTGTCTTTGTTCTCTTTGGTTTCAAAGAACATCTTTATTTCTGCCTTCATTTCGTTATGTACCCAGTAGTCATTCAGGAGCAGGTTGTTCAGTTTCCATGTAGTTGTGCGGCTTTGAGTGGAATTCTTAATCCTGAGTTCTAGTTTGATTGCACTGTGGTCTGAGAGAGAGTTTGTTATAATTTCTGTTCTTTTACATTTGCTGAGGAGTGCTTTACTTCCAACTATGTGGTCAATATTGGAATAAGTTCGAAGTGGTGCTGAAAAGAATGTATATTCTGTTGATTTGGGGTGGAGAGTTCTGTAGATGTCTATTAGGTCCGCTTGGTGCAGAGTTGAGTTCAATTCCTGGGTATCCTTGTTGACTTTCTGTCTTGTTGATCTGTCTAATGTTGACAGTGGTGTGTTAAAGTCTCCCATTATTAATGTGTGGGAGTCTAAGTCTCTTTGTAGGTCACTCAGGACTTGCTTTATGAATCTGGGTGCTCCTGTATTGGGTGCATATATATTTAGGATATTTAGCTCTTCTTGTTGAATTGATCCCTTTACCATTATGTAATGGCCTTCTTTGTCTCTTTTGATCTTTGTTGGTTTAAAGTCTGTTTTATCAGAGACTAGGATTGCAACCCCTGCCTTTTTTTGTTTTCCATTTGCTTGGTAGATCTTCCTCCATCCTTTTATTTTGAGCCTATGTGTGTCTCTGCACATGAGATGGGTTTCCTGAATACAGCACACTGATGGATCTTGACTCTTTATCCAATTTGCCAGTCTGTGTCTTTTAATTGAAGAATTTAGTCCATTTATATTTAAAGTTAATATTGTTATGTGTGAATTTGATCCTATCATTATGATGTTAGCTGGTGATTTTGCTCATTAGTTGACGCAGTTTCTTCCTAGTCTCGATGGTGTTTACATTTTGGCATGATTTTGCAGCGGCTGGTACTGGTTGTTCCTTTCCATGTTTAGCGCTTCCTTCAGGAGCTCTTTTAGGGCAGGCCTGGTGGTGACAAAATCGGTCAGCATTTGCTTGTCTGTAAAGTATTTTATTTCTCCTTCACTTATGAAGCTTAGTTTGGCTGGATACGAAATTCTGTGTTGAAAATTCTTTTCTTCAAGAATGTTGAATATTGGCCCCCACTCTCTTCTGGCTTGTAGGGTTTCTGCTGAGAGATCTGCTGTTAGTCTGATGGGCTTCCCTTTGAAGGTAACCCGACCTTTCTCTCTGGCTGCCCTTAACATTTTTTCCTTCATTTCAACTTTGGTGAATCTGACAATTATGTGTCTTGGAGTTGCTCTTCTCGAGGAATATCTTTGTGGCGTTCTCTGTATTTCCTGAATCTGAACGTTGGCCTGCCTTGCTAGATTGGGGAAGTTCTCCTGGATAATATCCTGCAGAGTGTTTTCCAACTTGGTTCCATTCTCTCCATCACTTTCAGGTACACCAATCAGACGTAGATTTGGTCTTTTCACATAGTCCCATATTTCTTGGAGGCTTTGCTCATTTCTTTTTATTCTTTTTTCTCTAAACTTCCCTTCTCGCTTCATTTCATTCATTTGATCTTCCATCGCTGATACCCTTTCTTCCAGTTGATCGCATCGGCTCCTGAGGCTTCTGCATTCTTCACGTAGTTCTCGAGCCTTGGTTTTCAGCTCCATCAGCTCCTTTAAGCACTTCTCTGTATTGGTTATTCTAGTTAGTTATACATTCTTCTAAATTTTTTTCAAAGTTTTTAACTTCTTTGCCTTTGGTTTGAATGTCCTCCTGTAGCTCAGAGTAATTTGATCATCTGAAGCCTTCTTCTCTCAACTCGTCAAAGTCATTCTCCATCCAGCTTTGTTCTGTTGCTGGTGAGGAACTGCGTTCCTTTGGAGGAGGAGAGACGCTCTGTGTTTTAGAGTTTCCAGTTTTTCTGTTCTGTTTTTTCCCCATCTTTGTGGTTTTATCTACTTTTGGTCTTTGATGATGGTGATGTACAGATGGGTTTTAGATGTGGATGTCCTTTCTGTTTGTTAGTTTTCCTTCTAACAGACAGGACCCTCAGCTGCAGGTCTGTTGGAATACCCTGCCGTGTGAGGTGTCAGTGTGCCCCTGCTGGGCGGTGCCTCCCAGTTAGGCTGCTCGGGGGTCAGGGGTCAGGGACCCACTTGAGGAGGCAGTCTGCTGGTTCTCAGATCTCCAGCTGCGTGCTGGGAGAACCACTGCTGTCTTCAAAGCTGTCAGACAGGGACATTTAAGTCTGCAGAGGTTACTGCTGTCTTTTTGTTTGTCTGTGCCCTGCCCCCAGAGGTGGAACCTACAGAGGCAGGCAGGCCTCCTTGAGCTGTGGTGGGCTCCACCCAGCTCCGAGCTTCCCAGCTGCTTTGTTTACCTAAGCAAGCCTGGGCAATGGCGGGCGCCCCTCCCCCAGCCTCACTGCCACCTTGCAGTTTGATCTCAGACTGCTGTGCTAGCAATCAGCGAGATTCCGTGGGCGTAGGACCCCCCGAGCCAGGTGTGGGATATAGTCTCGTGGTGCGCCATTTTTTAAGCCGGTCTGAAAAGCGCAATATTCGGGTGGGAGTGACCCGATTTTCCAGGTGTGTCCATCACCCCTTTCTTTGACTCGGAAAGGGAACTCCCTGACTCCTTGCGCTTCCCAGGTGAGGCAATGCCTCGCCCTGCTTCGGCTGGCGCACAGTGCGTGCACCCACTGGCCTGCGCCCACTGTCTGGCACTCCCTAGTGTGATGCACCCGGTACCTCAAATGGAAATGCAGAAATCACCTGTCTTCTGCGTCGCTCATGCTGGGAGCTGTAGACCGGAGCTGTTCCTATTTGGCCATCTTGGCTCCTCCCCCTGTTTCTCCGGTTTTGTTCTTATAGAGTATTGTTTAATAAAGTAATTACTGTCAAACTAAAATTATGGTAATTCACAATTCTTATACATTTTTGTTAAAAGGTTATTTGTTACTTTGGTGTTTTGAATTGCTCAAAATCATACACTGTTTAAGAGAAATAACTGTAGGTACTGTATTTTCTTCTTTATCTCTTATTATGTTATATCTTCATGGAGAAGTGTATAAGACAAATTCTTCTAGATTGGTAGATACACATTTAAATGATAGAATCTAGATTTGCAATTCATAGCTTGTCATCTGAAAGTTGTCCTTAATTTATTTTACTAACTTTTTATTAGTGAACAAAATTTAAGATTCTAACTGTTCACTTATTAAATAGAATAAAAAGAATGTGTTAGCATATATCTTCATTTGGCAATTAGAAATGTCCCTAGAAATTGATGTATTAGGTTCTGCTTGTTTGAAGTCAACTTCAAACCAACAGAAAGCAGAAAACATAATATTATGGCTATTAAAGTCTTCAACAATTAAATAACATATAAATAGTTACTTTCCCACAATGAAGCAAAAGCTATTCGTTTAAATAGCAATTATCTTGGATTTTCTCCTAGAGAGTCACGAGAGAATAAATTCTATAGAGTAATGAAGTTAAGGACAAATTCAAAGACACAGCATCTATTCTTTTTTGAAACAGCAAAAAAGGCATAATATACTTAGTTTTTAGTTTTCTAACACAAATCACTGATGTTTAATAAATTGATGATTTTGTTGTGCTTTGTAAAGTCTAGTGTATTCCTAAGGTTGGTCTAACAGACCTTAGAATGCACTGGTAAGTATTATTGTCACATTATATTCTTCTCTGTAAAACTCTCCTACATTTGAATATGTTAAGATAATTGTGTTTAAATTTTTTCTTTGGTGATTTGATGAGAAAAACACATATACACATACACATACATTTTTGCAAGTAAAAAAATCTGTTACAGTTGTTGTGCTTTCTCATTAGCATTATCTCTTATTGGAAGTATTTCCTTCATGTAATTTTCATGTTATAACTGGTGGAGACACTGACTTTGCCTGATTTTTTTTTTTTAATTCAGTGTTGTTTCTGTACTTTAGAATAGAGAGAAACTCGGTTTAATGGCAATTTGACAGCTTTTGTCCCGGTGCTAAAATGAAATTGATCAAATGGACGTTAGAGCTTTTGGCCTCCAAAACATTCAGGAACCTACAGGGAGTTCTGCTTGAATAGCATATGATTTTTCAAAACTACTGCATTTACAGCCGTGTTACTTATACTAAAACTCCAATTTACTTGGATCACATTGTATTTCTCCTTTTTTATTTATATTTTTCTAAATAGCCTACAGCAGTTTTGATGTGAGGTTCTGTCTTTTAACTTTTATTTTAGTTTCAGAGGTACATGTTCAGGTTGGTTCTACAGATAAATTACGTGTTATAAGTGTTTGGTGTACATATTGTTTCATCACCCAGGTAATAAGGTAGTTTTCCATCCTCACACTCCTGCCATCCTCCACCCTTAAGCAGGCCCCAGTGTCTATTGTGCCCTTCTTTGTGTCCATGTATACTCAGTGATTAGCTCCTACTTATAAGTTAGAACATGCAGTGTTTGGTTTTCTGTTCTTATATTAGTTCGCTTGGGATAACAGCCTCCAGCTCCATCCATGTTGCCACAAAGGACACTGATATGAGGAACTTGTATCTTGAGAATTTGATGTTTTTAATGTGCAATGTGCAGATGCCAAAAGTACTGAAGGCAGTATCTTTGAACTTAAAAATCAGGTGATTCAATTCGACATAATTGAATGGGACTACCAGTTATATCTGGTGCTAAGGGATTGCATAAACTTACTTTATGATTTAGAAATATTTCACTTCATTCATGTAAACTGCTAGCATAATTATGCCACACACATTTTATGAAAAAAAAAGGGAAAGTGAGAACAGGCTTAGATAGGAACATTTCTATCATTAGATACTCACGATTACTTTTTAACCTTATAATTTCTCCCATCCAAGTACTAACCAGGCCCGGCCCTGCTTAGCTTCCGAGATCAGATGAGAGATCAGGTGTGTTCAGGGTGGTATGGCTGTAGACTAACACTGTAATTTCTGTGAACCTTTTGTGAACAATATTATTATTGTGAAGTAATAACTGTGTGGAATTTTTCAGGTTATGTTTATAACTTATGTTTCTAATAAACACAGCCTCAGAAAGAGAGATGGGAGATCTACTTTTGTAGAGATTTTCTCCATTTATACTGTCATCCTAGTATTTACTCTTCCCATTATGCTGACAGAATCATCACGTTAACAAAATTGTCTACATTATGATAACAAGATTATGGCATTATATCAGTAGACCAGAAATAAATGGTTCTATTAGTAAAAATACTTCTTTACAAATTGGATTCCTTTATTACTTTCTGTAGAAAGGATCTCTCACATGAAAAGATAGCATGAAAAGATAGCGATGTACTTCTAAATCTAATGATGTTCTTACTGGTGTTTAACTGAATGATTATTTCCATCACATGAATAATGATGATCTTCCTTTAGTATTTATAACCTTATAGTGCCTCTTGTTCGTACACAGCTTTGAAGATGCTACATCAATTGTCACACCATTCAAAAGACAAGTGTTCTATTTTTTCCTCATCAATATCACTTACACTTTCCTCAAGAGGAATATTTAGGAGCACTGGAATACAATAATCTTGGATCCTATTGCATTGTGGTCCTCAGAGAGAATACTGAAGGGAACTGATTAAAAAAAATGATCCAGAGGGAAGCAGTTTGAGCATTCCAATTTGCAAGTGAATTAAAAAATGCCCCTTTTTTCAAAAAGAATATCCATATTCATATTAATTGTAGGTAGTACAGTCAGGACATAATAATGCCTAAAGATCTAGATAAACCATAGTACAGTAAAGACAGGTCAAGGAATATATGATAATCTTAGCCCATTTTTTGCTATTAAAGAGACAATCTTCCTTTCTGAGTTAATGTCTGCTCCCCTTATCCAGGTATCTGTATCTGTCACTGCATTGCGAATACTGTGTGCAGATGTTTTGAGTTGATAGAGTGTCGGGAAAAATAAATTTAAAAACATTTTTTAGTTGTATTAGGTGCCCGCACTGAAAATTTTACTCTTAGTCCTGCCTAGCCAGCACGCAGCCCATGTTCTGGCAAACCAAGCTGTGATCTGGACAAAGGTAAAACCACAACAAAGTATTTAATAATAGTCTTTGATTTTCTTCCCCTCAAATCACAAGTAAGATGGTGTTCAACTAATAATGTTATGTATCATTTAAAATTTTCGACTCTTCAAACAGAAGTTTATGTAATTAGACAAAATAATTACTTAAAAGTAAGTACGCTTTGGGAATAAGATTTTGCTTTAATGCAGTGGTCTTATTAAAACTAAGTAATAAAATAACTTTTATTAAAATATTTTCTTAACTTCCCAAACATATAATGAAAACACTAAAGATATCACACATATTATAAATATGTTTACTAATAATAGTTGTGTGTTTTAGAAGTTTCAAAAATGAATGCATGTGATGTGGTCGGAATTTGTTCTAAGTTGTTCTGTCTGTCCATTTCCAGGTCTTTTAGTTAGAAAGAGGACTTATCTTCCTCTGAGAACAATGCATGGACAGTAGGATACTACAGATTCCAGTCTAGTCTTTCTTGTCATTGTATTTGTAGTGCCTAATATTTCGTAAGGATATGCAGTGCCTAATATTTGGTAAGGATGGTATTCTGTATTTGGAGGATGTGTTGATTAAAATACAAGATGCTCAATCTCTAGAAATTCATAATTTAGTGGAAAAGGGACACTTTTGAAAACTCTAATATTAATATTATAACAACAACCATTACATAGTTTATCATAAATGAAGGAAAGATTTATTTCAACAAAAGAAATATGAAAAAGCTTATTTGAGAATAAGACCTGAAGTTTGAACTGGAATTTTAGAGAATAATTGATTGAAAGTATAGGTGGCTTAGTTGGAGAGTACAGTTTGGGTGAAGGATCATCCGTGTGCAGAGTGAGAGGTATTTAGGGAATGGTAAAGACACTGATGAGGCTAAGGCATACATTCCATTGGTCAGGTGGTATAGAAAACAAAGTTGCCAAAGAATAAAAAGAAATTTATGAAATGCTTTAAATTACAGGCCAACAATTATTTTCCCTTTACATTGAAGACAACCTGAAATTTGGGAGCAGGGGTTAACACAGGATCACATAATCTGTTTTAGAAAACTAATCTTGCTGCAATTGGTTAAAAGGATTATAGAGGGGAGGAACCATATGTAAGAGGATGAAGCTATGGTTCAGGAGCTGTACAATGGTAGTGCAAATATGAGAAGTATATGAATATCACAGAGGGTTTGATAATATAAATAGCAGAATTTGTTGACTAGGTGAATGTAGCAGTGAAGAAAAAGGGGAGCAAACAAAATAATAATTATTTTTGAGCCAGTGCACCTGGAAAAACTGAGGTAAGGAATACAGATTGGTTGGTATTGCTGACATTAGGGTAGGAGAAAAAATACATCCTTGCCCTAAGTGATCTCTTTTTTTAAAAAATGATCTTTGAAAACAAAACAAAGCAAAAGCAACTCCAAATATAGGTTGTTACAGTTCTGATTTAAGGCTTATCTTATGGATATTGCTTATTTTTTTTTCCAGAAGCAGTAATTTCTTTTTTTTTTAAAAAATATTTCAATAGTTTTTGGGGTAGAGATGGTTTTTGGTTTCATGGATAAGGTCTTTAGTGGTGATTTCTAGGATTTTAGTGTACTTGTCACCAGAACAGTGTAAACTGTACCCAATATGTAGTCTTTTATCCTTTATCCCTCCCCAGCCTTCCCCTGAGTCCCCAAAGTCCATTGTATCATTCTTATGCCTTTGTGTCCTCATAACTTAACTCCCACTTGTATGTAAGAACATACAATATTTGGTTTTTCATTTCTGAGTTGTTTCACTTAGAATAATGGCCTCCAGCTCCGTCTAAGTTGCTGCAAAAGACATTATTTCATTCTTCTTTATAGCTGAGTAGTAGTCCATGGTGTATATATATACTACATTTTCTTTATCCACTCATTGGTTGATGGGCACTTAGATTGCTTTCATATATTTGCAAATGAGAACTGTGCTGCTATAAACATGCATGTGCATGTGTGTTTTTTGTATAATGACTTCTTTTCCTTTGGGTAGATACCCAGTACTGGGATTGCTGGATTGAATGGTAGTTCTACTTTTAATTCTTTAAGGAAACTCCATTAAATATGGAGATTTCCTTAGTCTGAAAGTATTTCCTTTTCATAACATCCATGCCAACATCTACTATTTTTGACTTTTTAATTATCGCCATTTAAAGGTGATATCTCATTGTGGTTTTAATTTGCATTTCCCTGATGATTAGTGATGTTGAGTATTTTTTCATATGCTTGTTGGCTGTTTGTATATCTTCTTTTGAGAATTGTATATTTATGCCCTTTACCCACTTTTTGAATTGATTATTTTTTTCTTGCCGATTTCTTTGAATTCCTTGTAGATTCTGGATATTAGTCCATTGTCAGATGTATAGTTTACAAATATTTTCTCCCCCTCTAGGGGTTGTCTGTTTATTCTGCTTATTATTTATTTTGCTGTGCAGAAGCTTTTTAATTTAATTAGGTCTTATTTATTTATTTTTGTTTTTGTTGCATTTGCTTTTAGGTTCTTTGTCTTAGATTCTTTGCCTAAACAAATGTCTAGAAGAGTTTTTCTGATGTTATCTTCTAGAGTTTTATAGTTTTAGGTCTTCAATTTCAGTCTTTGAAGATCTTGCTGATTTTTAGTTAAGTCATTTGTTTACTTATTATTGAGCTTTTAGTTGTTTATACTAGATACAAATTCTATAATTTACATGATTTGCAATTTTTTTTAGACTTTTAAAAAATGTTAATAATGTGTTTGGAGGAGCATACATTTTTTATTTTGGGGGAAATCCAGTTTATGTTTTAGTTTTTCTTTTATGGATGTGTTTTTAGTGTCATGCCTATAAAATCTTTCACTAACTGAAAGTTAAAAAGATGTTCTCCTAAGTTTTCTTCTCATTATTTTATAGTTTTAAATTTTATATTTACAAGTATGATCCATTTACAGATATGTTTTTATAAATGGTGTAAGGTATGTATCCAAATTATTATATTTTTGCATATGGATATCTAATAGCTTCGTCATCATTTACTGAAAAGAGTGCTCTTCTTTCAGTGAATGGCTTCTACAGTTTTTTAGAGCTTTAGTCATCCCTACATGCATGGGTCTCTTTCTGGACTCTATTCTGGTTGACTGATCTATTTCTTTATCTTTATGCTGATACAGCAGTTCCTTGAAAAAAGTAGCTTTATAAAAATTCTTGAAATCAGGTAACGTGAGTCTTCCAACTTTGTTCTTTAAGATTGTTTTGGCCATTCTAAGTTATTTACATTTTTAGATGAATTTTAGAATTAGTTTAGCAATTTCTACAAAAAGCTTGCTGAAATTTTATTTGGGAGAATCTCTCGGGGTGAGCCACTATAGATTATACATTTTTGGAGAGAATTCTACTTCATAAGTGACACTGTGTCAGTAGGGGCCACATAATGTCTGGTTGTCTGACACTTAGTGATCCATTGAGATGTATTGCACAGTTAAGCTGTTGTCAGCCCTGTTTCTCCGAAGTAAAGTTTCATTTTCCCCACTTTAAACATTATGTAATCTGTGAGATAATAACTAACTTCACACCATGGAAAAATTAAATTTCCCATCAATATTTTCTTTATTGGTTTAGCCATTGTTGTTTTTAAATGTAGAAATAGGGATCCAATTAATAGACAAGACTAATTGTGCTTCTTATTTATTCTTGGCCCCACATCTCCATGATTGTGCTGTAATATGAACTGGAATTTTCATATTAAAAATAAGATATATGAAGTTATACATATGTGGATTGGCACCCTGACTATACCACTGACCAGGAGTGTGATCTTGAGCAATCTTTTTTAACATTTCTGTGCTTCAGTGTCTGTACCACTTAAATTAGGACAATGTCATTTACTTCCTTTCGTTGTTCAGAGCACAAATTATGAAATGAATAATAATAGCAAGGAGAGCAAAGATCACCTGATGGCCATCAAGCAGACCATCCGGAAGTAAAACTCCTTATCTGAGGAATTCAGAAGTAATTAGACTTCACTGTTTTCTAAAGCTGGCATCTGGTATGTTTGGCTTCTTCCCAAAAATTTTTAAGTAACTAGAATTTCTGTACATCTCCAGAATGAATGCATGTCAGAACTCATTGTGCAACCCTTGCTGACATCAAGGCACCAAAATGTCTACAAATGTAATCATTTATCATGACGATTTATCATATGTGGCTAATATGGTCCAAATTACCCTTAAACTCCAGCTACAAGGTCTATAAATTACCCTAAGGAAAGTCCACCACAGTGTGTTCAGTCCTCTCTTGCTAAAGCTCTCTCCTGCACTCTGAGGCACTCTTTCTATCTAATAAAACTTTCCTTTTCAAACCTACACTGTTGTTGGTAAATTCTTTTTACCACCCACAATCCAACCACTCTCCATTGCCAGAGCTCTGACACCTCACTGGGCAAATAGCATGTATTGAAAATTAACATGCAAACGAATACACAAATGTTTCTAATCCTTACAGAGATCCTACAAAGTCAGGCCCGGCGGGGTGGCTCACGCTTGTAATCCCAGCACTTTGGGAGGCCGAGGCGGGTGGATCACGAGGTCAGGAGATTGAGACCATCCTGGCCAACAAGATGAAACCCCGTCTGTACTAAAAAAATACAAAACATTAGCTAGGCGTGGTGGCGGGCGCCTGTAGTTCCAGCTACTCGGGAGGTTGAGGCAGGAGAACGGCGTGAACCCGGGAGGCAGAGCTTGCAGTGAGCCGAGATCGCGCCACTGCACTCCAGCCTAAGCAACAGAGCAAGACTCTTGTCTCAAAAAAAAAAAAAAGAAATCCTACAAAGCCAGGCCTTTTAAAGCCCAATTTGCAAAACCAAGACTCAGAGAGATTAAACAATTTGTTTAAGATTATAGATTAAAAGGCAGTGCTGGAGCTCAAATCAGGTCTGCCTGGTGCCAGGGAGGGTACTATTAATATTTCCACTTTTTAGTGTTGTCTTCATTACCACTTATAAAAGTGAGCTTATCTCATAGGGTCTAGAGTTTGCAACCTAAGAAAATGGTCTGGTAGCCCATTGCCTTAGTTGCTTATGAGGGACTCCGGGTTGGGGAGAAGAAAAGTCACTGTTGGAATCCTGATTTTCATCAACTAACATGTCATTTCTTATCAAGTCACTTGAACTTTCCCAGATATCATTCCATCATAGGAGGAGTAATATTATTTTGCCCCTTCTATTTTGTAGACCTATTTGAATGCTAAATGAGGTAATATGCTCTAATGTGCATTGTGTGCTGCAAATTTATGAAGCCTGTCAGTGTATCATTTTAATCAGTATAATCAATCAATTTTGACATTTCCCCCTTTGCAAAATCCAGATGATATCGATAATGACAGGGGACTGCAGCCAGAGTTGTGTGATATGTTTTATATGGCACCAGCAGTAACAGCTTCACCAAATATCAAGGCCGTCTTGACACCATGATTTATCATTTAACACGGAACTGAAATTAAAATTATTGATTTGATACAAGCTGTCCTGACTCCTTTACTTTTCCAGGTGGCCTCAAACTATGCTAGATATCCTTACTTACGTGGCCATCTTTGTTTTGAATATTTCCTTTGGGTATCTTTCCTTGCAGAGAGGTCTTAGTTTTAATTTTCAAGTATCATTTATGTAACTGTCACACATAGGTACTATGCAGCACAAAATAAATAAATAATAATTTGATGTCTAAAATAGAAATGTAAAAAATTATTAGTGATTTAGTATGCTGAATAGGGAGACACATCCCCTTGACCTGTAAGTGCTGACTGTGTGACTATTCTTTCTGTTGAGTAGTAGGGAAGAAATAAGAGAGGGAGAAGAAGGAGAGGCTGATGGTGTGCCTGAGCTACTCAATTTATAGGTTTCACATCATTTTGGAATGCACTAAATGTTTTATAATACTTAATTGATAAAACATTACCATAAATCTTATCACCCACCCAAACTACTTCATAAAAAACTAATCGCAACCTCACTTTGTTCCTATTAGTAATTTAACTGATGATAAGTTTTCTGAAAGAATTTGGATTTGTGATTCAATCCTGTCTTTTTTATTATTATTATACTTTAAGTTTTAGGGTACATGTGCACAATGTGCAGGTTAGTTACATATGTATACATGTGACATGCTGGTGCGCTGCACCCACTAACTCGTCATCTAGCATTAGGTATATCTCCCAGTGCTATCCCTCCCCCCCCCCGAACCCCACAACAGTCCCCAGAGTGTCATGTTCCCCTTCCTGTGTCCATGTGTTCTCATTGTTCCATTCCCACCTATAAGTGAGAATATGCGGTGTTTGGTTTTTTGTTCTTGCGATAGTTTACTGAGAATGATGATTTCCAATTTCATCCATGTCCCTACAAAGGACATGAACTCATCATTTTTTATGGCTGCATAGTATTCCATGGTGTATATGTGCCACATTTTCTTAATTCAGTCTATCGTTGTTGGACATTTAGGGTTGGTTCCAAGTCTTTGCTATTGTGAATAGTGCCGCAATAAACATACGTGTGCATGTGTCTTTATAGCAGCATGATTTATAGTCCTTTGGGTATATACCCAGTAATGGGATGGCTGGGTCAAATGGTATTTCTAGTTCTAGATCCCTGAGGAATCGCCACACTGACTTCCACAATGGTTGAACTAGTTTACAGTCCCACCAACAATGTAAAAGTGTTCCTATTTCTCCACATCCTCTCCAGCACCTGTTGTTTCCTGACTTTTTAATGATTGCCATTCTAACTGGTGTGAGATGATATCTCATTGTGGTTTTGATTTGCATTTCTCTGATGGCCAGTGATGGTGAGCATTTTTTCATGTGTTTTTTGGCTGCAAAAATGTCTTCTTTTGAGAAGTGTCTGTTCATGTCCTTTGCCCACTTTGTGATGGGGTTGTTTGTTTTTTTCTTGTAAATTTGTTTGAGTTCATTGTAGATTCTCCTGTCTTACAGTATAGAATAAGGGCTAGTGACCTAAGCATAAGCACTGAATTAAATTGTTTTAATTTGGGTTTAATTGATAATTTAAGGTGGGGGTAGAGACAAAGATGAAGTGCCAAGAGTAGGTCAGTCATTAGAAGAATGAAAATTTGAAAACCAAATAATGTATAAACTTGTTAAGGTACAGATAAAAGAAAGAAAAAGCAAGATTAAAATAAAAGAATAACATTTAATCTTCTGATACAAAAAGTCAAGTCTCACAAAAATCATGGTGAAACTGAGAGGTAGCTTTGGGAAAGGAAAGGAAAGGAAAGGAAACATTTTATAAATGACAATGTGTTAATCCTAGGACAAATGCTTGAACTTCCTTCCTTTATAGGTACCCATCACTTATATGAATTGAGAGGGTATATTTTTTATTATTGTAACTCTTTTCAACACCAGTCGTCTATGACAATAAGAAAACACAGATTCAAACATAGATAAGAGAAAAGAGGTTTCCATTTTTTTTCTTTGAGGTACAAATAGTTCTAGGGGTAGAGGTCAATAAGCCTGTGAAATAAAATCATTTGGAACTCTGAATGAGTGCCAAAATTTTGTTTCAAACACATTCCTCATGTATATAAGGCTTATCATTTTAATGTTTATAGTCTACGGAAATAGAAAACAAATTATCTCCTATCCTCCAGGAGCATTTGATAATAGAGTGTAAAACCAGAAAATGCTATCTTGAAGAATTCCATGAATAAACTTCTAATATTACACAGTTTCAAAGTTCTCAATGGTTTGTTCAAATGTCCTCAAATTTCCTTTGCAATTCTGCACATCAATTAATTCTGATCTGTTCTACAATTATGGAAAAGTAAGAATAATGCAACAAGATATCCAAATATGACTTACCCAAGTAATAAAAATAGCAAAAGAAATTTACTATACTATATACATTCATGTTCTATGATGTATCATGTTGGCTTTGCTTTTTTGCTTTTATTTTTTTTTTGAGACAGAGTCTTACTCTGTTGCCAGGCTGGAGTGCAGTGGCGCAATCTCTGCTCACTGTGGCCTCGGCCTCCCGGGTTCAAGTGATTCTCCTGGCTCAGCCTCCTGAGTAGCTGGGATTACAGGCATCTGCCACCACACCGAGCTCATTTTTGTAGTTTTAGTAGAGACAGGGTTTCACCATTTGGTCAGGCTGGTCTCGAACTCCTGACCTCATGATCCACCCACCTCGGCCTCCCAAAGTGCTGTGATTACAGTGGTTTGCTATTTTTATTACTTGGGTAAACCATACTTAAATAAATTAGTGCATTATTCATATTATAGTGAAACTCACTATATAAATTTTCAAGAGAAAATTGTTAGTCTCACAGCAATCCATCTACAGATTAATTATCGTAATAAGCAAAATGCCTCCTTTGTAAGCAATCATAATTGCTTACAAAAAAAGAGTCAACATTTCTTTTCATGGACTTTAGTATCCAACCCAATTTAACTTAAGCTTCTTTCCCCGAATGATGTTTGAAACTCACACATCCCGTTTACCATTCTTTCTGAACACATTTTCTGTTTTTCTAAGTCACTGAATTCTTCTCACTGTACTGTACGCAGAAATGTACTTCTCCCCAAGGTCCTCCAATTAAGATTCACCTATCCTTTAAAACCTCATTCAAGTTCAATGACCTATATGATATTACCTCAAAGTAATCCTTTCTTTCGTATGTTTTTCCATAGCCCTTTGCATTTGTACTGTAGGCTTTAATGTGCTCTTTCTGTATTGTAGTTAGATAATGCTCATATCTGTTTCCATTAGTAGAATGTGCACTGTTTGAGGCTAGAGAATGTCATCTGTATGAGTCTCTTACAGCATTTAGCACAGTGCCTTGACCACAGAAGAGAGTAAATGACTCTATTATTACATATAATTATTAAGGTGTTGAATATTTAGTCTTTAGGAAATCCATTTCTTCAGTGGATTCCTGATTTTCTCTATTTGAAAACACCCTCTTCTGAGGGTGTTTTGGGAGAAATGAGAAGAATCCCACGAAAATCATTTCAGCTGCTTAGATGATTTGATTAAGAGTATTTTAACTAGAAATTAAATTTTGCAGATTATAGAATAAAAATGTTTGTTTGTATTATGTATAAATTACATACAATTTCGTGTAGTAAAGAATTTGTCCATAGAGACAGGGCTTGTTTTTGTCTTTAGCTTCTGGGTGGCAGCCTTCTTAACACTTGAAATTTCTCAAGTGATAGGAGTGTCTTCCTCATTCATGATGAGACCACATCTGATGGTTTATGTTAAATAGATGACTAAAGGTCAGGCCAGATATATGCAATAGTCTAAGTTTGAGAGCTGAGCACGCCAGAAAGACCAATTATGTTATTAGAGTTTTTAGGCTTTGAGTTATTTGAGGTTAGGAGATGGAATTAAAACATAGGGCTGAATCAGTCACCTATGGCTGTGCAATGAGTCAGCAATATCTCTAGACACCCAGGCTTGAGTGAGCTTCCTGGATTAGTATAGTAATACTACATACCCATTATCACACATTGATGTGAAAGGGTTATATATCCTGACGATGTCAGAAGCTTTGCATTTAGGCTGCCAGACCCTGAACTACGCACCTCTTCCTTTGGCTGGTTCTAATTTGTATCTCTTACCTGCAATAAACAAAACCATGAGTATAATATGTTTCACGGAGTCCTGCAAGTCTTTTTAGGGTTAGAGTAGTTTTGGTAAACTGCCAAACTTGGATTTTCTGCCAGAAGTGAGAATTGCCTTTTGTAAACTCTTTCCTCTAACTTTGTAGCTGGATCCCAACTCTTTGTAGTCAGGATTGGAAGACCTGGACAGACTTGACAATCTGGAGGACTGTACTCTCCACCTCTCAATTTGGCTAACTGTGAGCAAGTCTATAAAAGCAGAGCATCTCTGAATTATGAAAACATCTTACAAAATTTTATCTTTTGTTCCTATTGTTACTTGCTCATATATTTTATTTATCAATTATTATTTTTCTCTGTGACTTATTATTGTAACATCTGTCCATCTCACTATACTCTGAGCTCTTTAAAATGAAAGACAGTTTCAAATTAATTTCTGTACCAAGTGCCTCGCTCAAAGTATTTGGTCAATGAGTGTTTATTGAATGAATGAATTAATGAATGTTTGGAATGATACAATTTACTCAAGACTGATATACTTAAGCTCTATCATTAGCCTACGATGTTGAGATCTTGTGAATTTTAGTATCAAATACCCTCTTTTAAAGAAACAAAATTATTTTATAGAGTAATTTTAGAGCACTACTACAGAGCTAAGAAGTATCGTCTTTTAATTAAGAGGACATTTATTTGGGATTCAGAATAATTGGGCATATATTGAACTCTTATTTAATGTGTAGCCCTGAGGAAATCACTTTACCCATTTAAATTCTTGTTTCTTCATCTGTAAAAAAAAGAATAAGGCTATAGTTGCCTATAGTTATAATATGCAGTTTTAAAAAATGTGTGAGAAATATACTATTATTTACTATACTATTATTACTATTATTTATGTTAAATATGTAATATTACTAAATGAGTAAGAAGAATGTATATGTATTATTGAATATACATTTTGATGCATACATATGTATAAAGATTTAGTATATATAAATTTATACAATTTTTAAAATTTCCTCAGTATTGTAACAATCATAATGAGGTTAAATAATTGACAAAATGTTTTCTAGGTTTGATCAAGGTTGATTAAATATCTCACTATTTTCTGATGACCTTGTCAAAGGGTACAAAATGTAAGAGGCCATTTTAAATCCAAAGCTATGTTTGACCAAGGCCTTTTATTAAGAACAAGTTTAAAGTCATTTCAGCAGTAGGTAAATTATAGTTCCAAGCAATGTAAATTATTGAATATCTTCAAGAACACAGACATATTTTATGTTCCCATGGAATATAATGCCTTTTCATTTATTCATTTGCTCATTTGTATATTTATTTATTCATTCATTCAACAAAAATATATTGAGCATCCACTATGCCCCAGGTGTTATGCTAGGTACTGAGGTTGCAGAGATAAATTAAAGGGTCTTTACCTTCAGGAAGTAACCAACTTTCAGCTCAATTTGTTGACTTTTCAAAAGTTTAGATACATCAATAATAGCTTGTACATATCCAAACAAACCCGCCTGAGAATTTGCAGCTATTCGTGAGCAGTTTTTGTGAAGGGCTGTGAAGAAATGTATAGAATAAAAAAATTGAGCTCATATTGCAAGACCTAGAGTCAAACTTTCTTTAAAGAGCTGAAATCTTCAGTTGCCAATAAATATTAAATATGAGGACAGTATCTCTATGAGACCAAGTTAAAATGAAAGCATATTGCCTATATGTGTATAATTTATGAGAGTATTCTCCAAATGACTCTAGTACACTCTTAATGCATTAAGCTAATTCACTAGCTGACTTCTTAGACTCTGAGTGTGTGCTGTAGGACATGCAAGTTCTCACACATGTAAATAAACACAAGTGTACATAAAACCCAGCTTAAGCAGGGTCAAGACAATGGAGCAGTCTGAGAGAACATGTGAGATGACAACTTGTATAAAAAACAACTATTTCTCTATTTGCCTAGGGCTTGCCCTTGCAACTAATACCAGTCGAACAGTTGGGAAAGTGAATGAGACATAGCAGAAACATAAATGTTGAATTTTAACAGTATTAAGTTTTTTCATCCTCTCTTAGATATGCTTGTATTCCAGTGTCTAAGCCAAATAAAATGCTATCTGTTCACTTTCATTCAAATGTGTGTAACTAAAATTTTTGAAACATGGTCTGTAATGATGCTAATGGTAATAATACAGAAGTATTCTATTTCATAAGTCAACATTCTCTACATAAGAAAATGAGTTTATTGATAATTCTATATTTATTATAGCACTCCAAGCCAAAATATATATAACTAAAGAGTTTGCCAAATATTTATAACATACGAAAAAATTTGGCTAAGTAGTATTTGAAAGGCCATGAAGTCAAATGTTTGCAAGTTATAAACACATTGGGATTTTTTTTTGAAGGACGAAAGAAAAATGTAAAATGTGAAGGTAACTAGATATATCAGACTAAAAATTTCATGAAAGTTTTTAAATTGTTACTGAAACATACATAAATAGTGAGAATGTGTTAACATTTACAAAACTGTAAATGTTTCTATAAAAAAGTGACAAAAGAAGGTAAGTCTTCTTTTATTTAACTTAATATGCCGTATAGAGGTGTAAACAGCATGACTTGCTTTGGGTTAGGAAATGCTGAAGGGAAAAAGTCAGCTTTATTCTATGGACGAAAGGATCTTCACTTGTCTCAGCAAGAATTGGCCATCTGTAAGTGTTTGGAAGTATTAATTACTTAATGAAAGAAAATAATAATCATATCTTGGTTGCTTTTATTGAGCTAAAAATTTAGAAGCTGCTCTGCCATCACATAGCATAATTCTTTTCATTTACCACATGTAACTATATATGGTATTTAATATGTTATGCAAGTCACTAGTCCCCTTACTTCACTTAAAAAAAGCTTGAATTATGTTAATTTTTGAAACTGCTCATTTTAAAAATTTTACAAGATGGAAAATATCATTAAAATAATGATTTTCATCATTAATGCCAAGATATATGTAATGAATTTTATTAATTTTATTTCTTTAGTTAGACTAATTGAATGAGAAAGAAAACATTTATACAGTCATTAAATTAAATTCTGTTAGGCTATAAAAGTTTGAGAAAACCAGAAAGATCTTGACTTCATAGATTTTTTGTTGTTGTCTCATAGTAAATTTTATTCTGAAACCAAATAATGTGTTTTTATTTTAATATTGCTATTATTTGCAATCTAGATTTGGAGAAAACTAGATGTTAGAGTTTTCATTATTGCTGAGTGATCTAGAGCAATTCATTTAAGGTAACTGAAAATGAATTACCTATATAAATGTCTTCCTTACGGGTTTATTCTTAATAATACAAGAAATAAATAAATAGAAAATAGACATGAAGCTTATAGCTTTAATACATGAATTATTATTCTAAGAAATTTCAGCCCATATGCCTTCAACTGTGATTTGATATGTTTTATCAGTAAAGGTACATAAACAACATAGAACAGTCTAAAATCAATAAATATGTTAAACATGGAGAGGGAAAAGTAAAGCACTCACCATTTAATATAATTATAAACATTTAAGTTTAAATATTTTTCTGAGCTTCCTTGAAGTTAAAATAAAAAGATAGCTAAGATATGAAAATTCTTATTTCATTCATTTGGGGCATAGCATTAAGAATACTACCTAATGAAAGAATTTTTGTAAACATTAAGCTGATAAACTCCATACAGACCATTTTCTTGTTCTAATTTGATGGAAGAATGTCACATAGCCACCTGCCTGGCCTCACTAAACAAAGGTTAATCATTCCTTCTCTCAACCAGGATTTTCACACAATTTATCTTCTAGATAATTTAAATTTAATCTCTCTGTTGAGATCCCAGTACACTGGTACTTCCTCATATTTACAGTGCTTTAAACAACATTAATTCCTGCTTGCCATTTGACCAGTAAAAGATGAAATAAAAAGATCTCCAACAGGTCATGGTAAGGAGAAAAGGGTACAATGGTAACATACTATCAGCCAAGGGAGAAAGTCTGAGTCAGCAGGGTCTTTTAAGTCATTGCTAAGTAACTATAAGTGGCTATGAGATTTCCTATGAAAATGGATGGAGAGGCTGTTGTTGAAGTGCCTAATAAGACCCTAGTGGCAGCACTGAGGCCGACAGCTCTAACCCTTCTGTTCACAAAAGCCCTTTCCTGAGACCTTTCTCCCGTACGTGTTTAACACCCACAGTGGTGTGGAGTCTAAGCTGCTTAGGCATGTCCTGCCGAGCCTTCCTCAGCAGCTACTTTCAGAGGCTAGTGCCTTTCACATGGAACAGGACACTCTCAAGGGCACAGTTGAAAGGTTGTCTTTTTCATTTAATTTTAAAATTATTTTGTGGAGAAAATTTTAAGTTACACCGGGGCAAGTTATTATAATCAAGAATAGAAGAAGATTATTCATTAATTTGGACAAAAAAAAAGCCTATGGAAAATCAGTGTACAAAAAGTACAACAGTTTGGAAGAAGACAAACTGCAGAATATGCCTGAATATGCCAGCAAAATGCAGAACGTTCTCATCCCTGTGTAGGGCAAAAGTACAGATAAGACTACTGTATTGGATTTCTTAAATATTTAAAACTTATAAATCAACTCATATCCATCTCCCTGTTCATATTCCCACACAGGACCCCCAGCTTACTCCCTGGTGATGGCCCTTACACCCAGGAGGCAAAATTAGCTCTTTTCTGCTGACTGTGAGTTTGAGTGAATTGGATATGCTAGGACAGGACTTGGCAAACCTGGGCTCAGACCAAGATCTCCTGGGCGGTGACCAAAACCACCCGAATTGGGATTAAGACAGGGTAGACACACTTCCCAAGGAACCATGGTCAGTTTACCATCCATTCACTTCTCTTTTCCAGCTCGGGGTTTCTAGGCATCTAGGTGCCTCTCCAAACTAGATGACTAAAGCTGCATAGAGGAGGACCACAGTTGTCTGGTTGTTGGCAGAACCCACTCTACTAAGACACACATAATTGGATGATTTTGAAAACTATATCTTTATTTAAATTCTTCAGTTTTCCAACACAGACACTGTGATTTTCTCCCCTATTTTCTACCTCTGTATTCAAGTATTCAATGTTACATTCTCTGGCCTGGGGGCTCATTTCAGCTCAGGTAACCTTCTCAATCTATTAATGTTAACCAGTAACTGAACTACAAAAAAAAAAAAAGCTTAAAAGATCAACAAATATGTCTTTAGGTTTAGGTGTTTTTTCTTTGTGATAGGAAGGTACTCTGCAGTGCAGGACATAGGATGAGCCTTTCTGGTCCAGATCTAAGGTCAGTGCCTCAATGCCATTGCAGCAGAGCATTAATCTTTAGTTTCATTTTGCTTTTTTTGCCTTGCCTTATAATGCTGATCTATTTCCAAGAAATCTTGTCATGAAAATGAAGAATGCATTTTGTCCCCTGAAAAATGGAGCTTTATTCCATGTGTTTTCTTACAAGGCAAGCCTGCAGATTCAATGCCCTTGCTTTTTGTTCTTTGATGTCAACAAGAAGTGATTACAAGAAAGTGGACCTAAACAAAGTCAAACCATTATTTAATCCCAATCCCAGGTTTAAGTTTGAAGAGCTCAGATAACCAACAGTAGCAGAAATAAAATTATCCTGTCCATTTACAATAAACCATTGTAACTATTCCAAGTATAGAATTTCAATATTTTTTTTCTCTTGGATCTGCCAGCACTGAAGAAACGCTGATAAGAAAGGAAACATTATGAAGACCTACCTTAATTTTTGTAATAAGTTACAGTTCGAGCTGTTACCTTTAATTATTTTTTAACAGAATTTTCCATAAAATTCATAGCCTTTATCAATATAAGAGAAACTGTGAGTAAAATACTTTTTCTTGAGCTTCTTATTCGTAAATCCTATTGCTTCATGATGAATGCCAATGTATTTTAATCTTTGTAATTTTAAATAGGTAAACATACCAGTTCTCTGGGATTTACCAGCACAGAAAATGTCTGCAGAGTTTTGAATGAATATTGGAGTAAGAATAGAATACAATAGCACTTATTTTAAAGTAAGTTTTTCCAAGTTCAACTCATTATTGTAAAAATACCAGTAATTCAAGGTACCCAAAGGTGTGATAAAACAAAATAGTGGGCTTTATAAATACATAGTCTTTAAAGTATCTGCCCTTTTCAGAGTAAACTGTGTTCATTTTAAGACTGGAGAATTTCTTAGGGGCGATGAATAAATGGGGAGGCTCTGCACCATATAGTGGTTTATGTTAATAGTTTATAGCTACATTAATCGTTGAGTTGAGCTCTGAATTTAGTCATTTGGAAGTAAAAGTTCTCTAGAGAGATCATCATCAAGAAATAACTAAGCAATTGTTTGAAACTAAAGGCTGTTTTCTGAATTAATGAACAATCTTAGAATTGTTGATTTGTTCATTATGAACAATCTAAAAATTACAGGCTATTTTCTATTTATCTGTTGATGCATTTTAATGAATGTGTAATAACCTGGAAAACAGGAGGTTTTCCAGCTTATAAACTTACCTGAAATCATGACAACAACATGTAAAGTAAAAATGAGTTTAGTTAGTATTTAAGTCAATCTTGCTACAAATTAAACATGTCATATTTTTTTCTCATTTTTTCTATTCGATTTTATAAAAGTTGCATCTACCTTACCAAAATTAATAAATTCCTTCTGTATGCTAAATGAATATTAGAACTTTAGCATTAGTTTTTTAAAAAGTCGATAGTTTGAGTGATCCTAAGTGTACATGTAAATTCTAGAAATGGCAATGTGTTTCTCTAAATACGCACCATATCTAAGAGATACTTTCCTCAACCCCAAAATATTTGTCTATGTTGATTACCTTCCATCCTTTGAGGAAATACCCCACTACTTTTTATTTTTCAAACTCAGATTATATCCATGTTATTTTTTATAACTAAGGACATAAAACTATCAATCATTAGTTTTCTGTTACAATGCTACCCTATAATTTTATTTTTTGACAATGACTCCATTCCTTCTTTTAAATGTTTACAATGTTATTTCATACTCTACTGATAAGGAGAAAAATGTCTTAAAACCCAGCTAGAATAATAGTGTTGGGAAAGCTGTATATCCACACACAGAATAAAATTGGACCTTTATTTCATATAACATACCAAGATAAACTGATAACATTAAATATTTAAATATAAGTTCTGAGTCCGTAAAACTATTAGAATAAGTCACAGGGAGTAAGCATGTTCATGTTGGTTTCAACAAAGATTTTTTTGGATAAGACCCTAAAAACACAGGCAACAAAAGAAAAGTAGACAAATGGGACTGCATCAAACTAACAAGTGTCTGCAAAACAAAGGAACCATTAACAGAGTGAAAAGACAATCCACAGATTGGGAGAAAATGTTTGTAAGCCATTCATCCAATAAAAGTTAATATCCAAAATACATAATGAACTTAAGCTAACTTGACAGCAAGTAAACAAATAATCCAATTAAATATGGGCAAAAGACCTGACTAGATATTTCTCAAAAGAATAGATACAAATGGCCAAGAGATATATGGAAATGTGTTCAACATTATTAATCGTCAGGAAAATGCAAAAAATACATCTAATAGGATGGCTATTATAAAAAAGACAAAAGATAAGTCTTAGTAAGGACATGGAGAAAAGAGAAACTTTGTACACTGTTGGTGGGAATGTAAATTAGCACAAACATTGTTACCCACAGAAATAAAAAGAACCATCAGAGAATATTATAAACACATCTATGCACATAAACTAGAAAATCTAGAATGGATAAATTTCTGGACACATATACCCTTCCCAGACCTGGACACATACACCCTTCCAGGAAGAAATTGAATCCTTGAACAGACCAATAATGAGTTCTAAAATTGAGGCAGTAATAAATAGCCTACCAACCAAAAAAAAAAAAAACAAAAAAAAGGCCCCAGGACTACACAGGTTCACAGTTGAATTCTACCAGATGTACCAAGAAGAGCTGGTACCATTCCTACTGAAACTATTCCAAAAAATTGAAAAGGAGGTTCTTCCTAACTCATTCTATGAGACCAGCATAATCCTGATATCAAAACCAGGGAAAGACACAACAAAAAAAGAGAACTTCAGGCCAGTATCCTTGATGAACATCAATGCAAAAATCCTCAACAAAACGTGACAAACTGATTTTAACAGCACATCAAAAGGCTTAATAACCACAATCAAGTAGGTTTCATTCCTGACATGCAAGGTTGGTTCAATATATGTAAATCAATAAGTGTGATTCATCACACAAACAGAGCCAAAGACCATACCACATGATTATCTCAATAGATATAAAAAATGATTTTGATAAACTCAACATCCCTTCATGTTAAAAAATAATCTAGGTATTAAAGGAACATACCTCAAAATAACAAGAGGCATACATGATAAACCCACAACCAACATCATACTGAATGAACAAAAGCTGGAAGCATTCCACTTGAATAGCAGTAAAAGACAAGGATGCCCTCTCTCACACTCCTATTCAACATAGCATTGGAAGTTCTGGCCAGGGCAGTCAGGGAAGAGAAAGAAAGAAAGCGTATTCAAATAGGATGAGAGGAAGTCAAACTATCCCTGTTTGTGGATTACATGATTCCATATCCAGAAAACCCCATTGTCTCACCCACAAAGCTTCTTAAGCTGATAAGCAATTTCAGCAAAGTCTCAGGATAGAAAATCAATGTGCAAAAATCACTAGCATTCCTGTACACCAACAACAGTCAATCCAAGAGCCAAATCACAAATGAGCTCCCATTCACAATTGCCCCCAAAAGAATAAACTATCTAGGATTACAGCTAACAAAGAAGTTGAAAGATCTCTACAAAGAGAACTACAAACCACCATTCAAATAAATCAGAGATGATATAAACAAATGAAAAAACATTCCATGCTCATGGATAGAAAGAATCAATATTATTAAAATGGCCATACCACCCAAAGCAATTTATAGATTCAATGCTATTCCCATTAAACTACCATTGACATTGTTCACACAACTAGAGGAAACAATTTAAAAATTTTTATGGAGCTACAAAAGAGCCTGAATAGCTAAGGTAATCTTAAGCAAAAAGGACAAAGCTGTAGACATCACATTACCTGACTTCAAACTATATTACAAAGCTACATTAACCAAAACAGCATGGTACTTGTACTAGAACAGACACATAGACCAATGGAACAGATTAGAGAACCAAGAAATAAGATTGCACACCTACAACTATCTGATTTTCGAAAAACTTGACAAAAATAAGCAAAGGGGAAATGATTTCCTATTCAATAAATGATGCTGGGATAACTGGCTAGCCATATGCAAAAAAAAAAAAAAAAAAAAAAAAAACTGAAACTGAATCTCTTCCTTACACCATATACAAAAATTAACTCAAGATGGATTGAAAACTTAAATGTAAAACCCAAAACTACAAACACCCTGGAAGACAGGTTAGGCAATACCATTCAGGACATAGGCATAGGCAAAGATTTTATGATGAAGACAGCAAAAGTAATTGCAACAAAAGCAACAGTTGACAAATAAAATCTAATTAAACTTAAGAGCTTCTGTACAGCAAAAGGAACTATGAACAGAGTAAACAGACAACCTATAACATGGGAGAAAATTTTTACAGACTATGCATCTCATTAAGATCTAATATCCAGCATCTATAAGAAACTTAAATATATTTACAAAAAAAAAACACAAGTAATCCCTTTTACCCATCAACACAGTTTTACTATTGCTTTATGTGTTTTTCTTTCTTTTCTTTTCTTTTTTCTTTAGTTTTGAGATAAGCATAGATTCCCATGCAGTTGTAAGAAATAATAATAGAGGTCTCATGTACCGGTTACCCAGCTTTTCCCAGCTTTTCTCATGTACCTGTTACCCAGCTTTTCCCAGCTGTTCCCAGCTTTTCCAAGATTTTCTCATGTACCTGTTACCCAGGTTTTTCCCACTACCCACCTTCAAAACTGTAGTATAATATCACAATCAGGATATTGACACTGATAGTGTCAAGATACAGAATACTCCATCTCCACGAAGATCCTTCTTATTGTCCACGTATAGCCACATGCACTTCCCTCCAATTTCTATCTTCCCCTTAACTTCTGGCAACCATTAATTTGTTCTCTGTTTATACAATTTTGTTATTTCAATAATTTTATATAAATAAAATTTTATGTTATAAAAAAAGTAGGCAAAGGACAAGAATAGACACTTATCAAAAAAAAGACATATATGCAGCCAACAATCATATAAACAAAAGCTAAACACCACAGATCATTAGAGAAATGCAAATCAAAACCACAATGAGATACCATCTCATAGCAGTCAAAATGGCTATTGTTAAAAAGTCAAAAAATAGGTCGGGCATGGTGGCTCATGTCTGTAATCCCAATACTTTGGGAGGCTGAGACAGGTGGATCCCTTGAGCTCAGGAACTGGAGACCAGCCTGGGCAACATGGCAAAAGCCCATTTCTACCAAAAATACAAAAAATTAGCTGAGCGTGGTGGTGTGTTCTTGTGTTCTCAGCTACTCAGGAAGCTGAACTGTGAGGATAGCTTGAGCCTAGGAAGTGGACGTTGCAGTGAACCAAGATTGAGGCACAACACTACAGCTTGGTTGACAGAGAGAGATCCCATCTCAAAAAAAAAAAAAAAAAAAAGTCATAAAATAACAGACGCTGGCGAAGTTGTGGAGAAAAAGGAAGACCTATACACTGTTGGTGTGAGTGTAAATTAGTTCAACCATTGTGGAAGACACTGTGGCGATTCCTCAAAGACCTAAACACAGAAATACCATTGAATGAAGCAATCCCATTACTGGGTATATACCCAAAGGAATATTAATCATTCTATTATAAATACATGTGCACATGTATATTTATTGCAGTGCTCTTCACAATAGCAAAGACATGGAATTCACCTAAATGCCCATCAATGGCAGACTGTGTAAAGAAAATGTGGTACATATACACCATAGAATAGTATGCAGCCAAAAGCGAGAATGAGATCATGTCCTTTGCAGGGCATGGATGGAGATGGAGACCATTATCCTTAGCAAACTAGCTCAGGAACAGAAACCAAATACAGCATGAGTTTTCACTTATAGGTGGGAGCTAAATCATGAGAACACATGGACACTTAGTGGGGAACAACACACACTGGGGCCCATTGGAGAGTGGACGATGGGAGGAGGGAGAGGATCAGAAAAAATGAATACTAGCCTTAATACGTGGGTGATGAAATAATCTGTACAACAACCCCCCATGACACATTTACCTATGTGGCAAACCTGCACATCCTGCACCTGTACCCCTGAACTTAAAATAAAAGTAAAAAAAAAAAAAGCACGTAGGTTCCTCAAAGAGTTCAAAATAGAACTAGCATATGATCCAGCAAACCTGTTTCTGGGTATATAACCAAATGAAATAAAATCAGTATCTCAAAGAGGCACCTACACCTCCATGTTGATTGCAGCATTAGTCACAATAGACAAGATTTGGAATCAACCTAAGTGTCCACCTTTGGATGAATGGATACAAAGTGCAATACACACACTACAATAGATTACTGTCCATCTTTTAAGTAGAAGGATGTCTTTTTATTTGCAACAACATGGATAAAAGTGAAGGATATTATGCTAAGTGAAATAATCCAGGCACAAGACACAGGAAGACAAATTTTGCCTAATCTCAACTATAAGTGGAATCTAAAACAGTAGAAATCATAGAAGCAGAGACTAAAATGGTGGGGGTTTTCAGGAGCTGAGGTAGAAGAATGACGAGACGTTGGCCAAAGGGTACAAAGTTTCAGTTAGGTAGGATGAGGAAGATCTGGAGATCGATTTTATAGCTTGGTGATTCTAGAAATAATAACATATTTTCTATTTGGAAATTACTAATGTAGTAGATCTTAAATGTTCTCAGAACAAAAAAATGATGATTATGTGGTATGATGGACATGTTAACTAGGTAGATTGTGTTCATCATTTTACAGTGTATACATATATCAGAACATCTGGTTGTGTACCATAAATATATACAATATTTATTAGTTAATTTTACCTTAATAAAGCTGAGGGGTAGGGGGGGACCCTAGTTAGGGGAACAATGCAAACTTTCCCCAAATTTTAAAATCATTTGTGAAACAGCTTACAAGTCACTAGCATATTAAACATACTTTTTCAAATTGATTGAGTCATAATGATACAGAATCCATTTTAAATGTTACTGATATTGTCTTGCTGTCAATTTTGGCCACATTGTTCTATGTAGAGTTTATCTATACATTTTCTCTTATTTCATAATGTGGTCCAAGGTTTTCACTGAGATCCTCAGATTTCATCATTGTAACTACAAACTAATGCTGTGTATATTTTTCATAATTTCTATGAAAAGGTGTATCTATGATAGGGAATCAGAAATGACCACTGACCATGACCTTCCGATGATTCTTTATGTGAGCCACAATTTGTTTCATGAGGATGCTCTAGGTTCCAGAATAATTTTTTTAAAAATACACTGTCAAGGATAGTTCATTCTTATTTATTTATCTCTATTCCAAGATTTGGATCATCTATTCAGTCACCCATGGCTTTTCAGTTTCTTCCTACATGCCATGTATGAAATTTGTCACAGTCATTTTGCCGAAGTCGATTTTAATTTCATTTTACAGTTGTAAACTGATCAGCAATGCATACCTCGGAGTTCTCTGTTAGTTTTGATTAAACAGATAAATACATCTAGTGTGACAGAAATTAAATTGCAAGAATGAATTTTTATCTTTTCTCCTTTTGTCATAGGAAATGTAGTAGTTCAAAAAGTAGAGAAAGCAAGAAGAACTTCAGAGTTTTGGGCTTAATGTAGTGATTGAAATGGAAAGTCATGCAAACTCTCTGTGGATGTGTTCTTCCAAGAAAAGCAGAGAATTGTGGAGACACTTTACATGATGGGATATATAAGTAGGGCCCTGGAGGTCCAGATGTGAAAGCAAACTTCTGGAGTTAAGCACTTAGCTGAAAATTGCTTTCTATCATCTGAGCTAGAAGTAATCAGAAGCCAGGCATGAAGGATTAAATCAAAATATTGTTGGTGTATACTTGGCTTCTGAAAGTTGGAATTTTTTTCCTCTTTTAATGTCCATGATAGCACCTGACTCTTCACAATATGCAGAATTAAAGTGTTCCCATGGTAATTTATTTTTAAAAATCAGGAAAAGGACTGTATTCACAATAAAAACAGCTCTCAAGAACTTACTGAGTTGTTTTAGAATATAGTGTAATGCTGGCACATTTTCATCTGGAAAACCAAACCCCTGAAAGAGATTTCCAGGAATATTTGGACCCTAGAAAAATGAGTGTGGTAAAAGGGAATTAACATGCTTAATATCAAAAACTCTTTGTCTTTAATCCTGTGTCCACTATCTTCCATCCTGTGGCTATAATTATACAACCATGTATCATATGTGGTCCCCCTTATGTTATTAGGGGACAACAAAACCGTTAGATGAGATACTACCTGGCAGGGAATGAGAACATATGCTCTGGTGAAGGGTCAAAGCTGTGGAAGCTAAGTGGGTTTTTAGTCAATTCTCATGTCAAATGTTCGTCCCTGTTATCAATGCAGTGGTTAGATTTTTTGTTTGAAAAGGAAATCAGTACTCTTGATAACCCTAACCAGATGACTTTGATGTAAATAATAGGACCTTCACTATTATAAGTTCTGAACTTTCTCTATAAATTTCAGTTTGTAAGATTCTATTTTGCCTTGGAAAGAACAATATACTCTCCAATATAACTGGAAATTTAAAATTTAATACTTATTGCTTTATAATATATATTAGAGTTTCCAAAGACAGTTGTCAATATTGTAGTAATGGTTAACATTTAGTGCCCATTTAGAGAAAGCATTTTGCTAATACTTTCTAATGTACTACTCACAGCAATCCTATGAGGTAAGCATCAGTTCCCCAAATTTACTAAGGAAGAGACTGAGGCTGAAGAGTGTTATAACTTTTCCATTGTCACACAGTATTGATGGACCTCTCTAACTTTTGAAAAATCCTGTATTCTTTCCTTTTTGGAGCGCTCCTCTCCTATTCCATGTGATTTGGATGAGACTGTTGTTTAACTGGTCCAGGGTCCTCACAATGGAGCTGGACACATGACCCTAAGTGTACCATTGGAGCCTGGGGGGGGGCAACTGATATGAATATTAGGAGAAAGTCTCCCTATTTATGAAATTGCTAGCTATAAGAATCACATAGCTGGGCATGGTGGCTCACGCCTGTAATCCCAGCACTTTGGGAGGCCAAGGCGGGTGGATCACCTGAGGTCAGGAGCTCAAGACCAGCCTGGCCAATATGGTGAGACCCCATCTCTACTAAAAATACAAAAATCATCTGGGTGTAATGGCATGTGCCTGTAATCCCAGCTGCTCAGGAGGCTGAGGCAGGAGAATCATTTGAACGCGGTGTGCGGGGAGCTGTGGATGTTGCAGTGAGCCGATAATGTGCCACTGCACTCCAGGCTGGGTGACAGAGCAAGACTCCGTCTCAAAAAAAAAAAACAAAAAAAAATCAAAAAAAAAGAATCACATAAGCCATGGGGTTTGGTCGGGTCCATTTCTCCTACTTGTGGCTTGAGGGGAGAAAGAAATAGACAACTGAGAAGAAGATAGAAACGAAGAAAGGAGAACAAGAAATATAATTCTGATGACAGTATTTGAGTCCTTGGCAAAGAGTCCATTCCAATCCCAGAATATCACAGTGATATGACAGCAAAAGCCAAAGTCTTAACAATATTGCATTACATTTCAGCCAAAGTGTCATTTTACAGTCATATGAAGGTAAAAGCCAAAGTTTTGCAGTGATTGACTTCACTTCATGTGATAGGGCTGACTGTAAACTCTGATCAGATTTTCCTCACTCACCATATTATACTGATCCTACTGTGCCCTGAACATGCTATGCTTGCTCCTGCTTCAGGGATTTTTCACTTATTTCTTCTGTATGAGACATTCTTTTGCAGAAATTCTTATGTCTCATTCCCTCACCTCCATCATGTCTAAAATACCATCTCCTCTGTTGGTTTTCCCAACAACTCTATTTGTCATTACACTCTCATTAGTTCTTCAGCCTCTGCTATCATTCTTTTGATCCCTTTTCTGCTTTATTTTTCCTTACAACACTTATAATTTTTTATCTTCTCTATCACCCCTTACTTCACCAGCACACAATGGAAGGCAAACTGCAAGAGTGGAGGGTTTTTGTTCTCTGCTAAATCTCCAGTGTTCAAAGGGGTTCCTCTCTGATATGGTTTGGCTCTGTATCCACAAGCAAATCTCATGTCAAATTGTAATTCCCAGTGTTAAGGGAGGGATCTGATGGTAGGTGATTGGATAATGGGGCAGACTTTTCCTTGCTATTCTTGTGATAGTGAGTGAGTTCTCATGAGATCTGTTTGTTTAGAAGAGTGTAGCACTTTCCGCTTTGCTCTCTCTCTCCTGCTCTGCCATGGTACCACATTCTTGCTTCCCCTTTCCCTTCCACTATTATTGTAAGTTTCCTGAGGTCTCCCAGCCATGCTTCCCATGGAATTGTGAGTCAATTAAACATGTTTTCTTCATAAATTACCCAGTTTCAGGTAGTTCTGTATAGCAGTGTGAGAACAGACTAGTACAGAAATTCGGTACTGGAGAAGTGGGGCATTGCTATAAAGATCCCTGAAAATTTGGAAGCAATTTTGGAACTGGGGTAATGGGCACAGGCTGCAACAGTTTGGAGGGATCAGAAGAAGACAGGAAGATGAAGGAAAGTTTGGAACTTTCTAGAGACTTGTTGAATGGCTTTGACCAAAATGCTGATAGTGACATAGACAGTGAAGTTCAGGCTAAGGTGGTCTTGGAGGGAGATAAGGAACTTACTGGGAACTGGAGTAAAGGTCACTCCTGCTATGCTTTAACAAAGAGACTGGCAGCATTGTTCCTTTGCTCTAGAGATCTGTGGAACTGTGAACTTGAGAGAGCTTATTTAGGGTATCTGGTAGAAGAAATTTCTAAAGAGCAAACTATTCAAGATGTGGCCTGGCTACTTCTAAAAGCTTTCATTTATTTGCATAAACAACAAAATAACCTGAAACTAAAACTTATATTTCAAAGGGAAGCCAAGCATAAAAATTTGGAAATTTTGCAGCCCAACCATGCAGTAGAAAATGAAAATCCATGTTCTCGGGAGGAATTCAAACCTGCAGAAATTTGCATAAGTAAAGAAGAGCCAAATGTTAATAGCCAAGATAATGGGGGAAATGTCTTCAGGGCATTTCAGAGACGTTTGCAGCAGGCCCCTAGCCTGGAGGCCTAGGAGGGAAAAATAACTTTGTGGGCCAGGCTCAGGGCCCAGCTGCTCTGTGCAGCCTCAGGACATGGTGCTCTGCATCCCAGCTGCTCCAGTTCCAGTTATGGCTAAAAGGGTCCAAGGTACAGCTTGGGCCATTGCTTCAGAGGGTACAAGCCCCAAGCCTTGGTGGCTTCCACATGGTGTTGGCTGCAGGTGCACAGAAGGCAAGAGCTGAGGTTTGGGAGCTTCTGCCTAGATTTCAGAAGCTGTATGGAAACACCTGGATGTCCAGGCAGAAGTCTGCTGCAGGGGTGGAGCCCTGATGGAGAATCTCTACTAAGGAAGTGCAGAGTGGAAATGTGGGGTTTGAGCTCCCACACAGAATCTCCACTGGGGCACTACCTAGTGGAACTGTGAGAAGAAGGCCATCATCCTCCAGACCCCAGAATGTTAGATGCATTGACAACTTGCACCATGTGCCTGGAAAAGCTACAGACACATAACACCAGCCCATGAAAGCAGCCATGGGGGCTATATCCTGCAAAGTCACTAGGTTGTAGCTGCCCAAGTCCTTGGGAGTCCACTCCTTGTATCAGTGTGCCTTGGATGTGAGACATGGAGTGAAATGAGATTATTTTGGAGCTTTGAGATTTAATGTCTGCCTTGCTGGCTTTTGGACTTGCATGGGGCCTGTTGCCCCTTTATTTTGGCCAATTTGTCCCTTATGGAATGGGAGCATTTACCCAATGCCTATACCCTCATTGTATCTTGGAAGTAGCTAACTTCTTTTTGATTTTACAGGCTCATAGGCAGAAGAGACTTGCCTTATCTCAGTTGAGACTTTGGACTTGGACTTTTGAGTTAATACTGGAATGAATAAAGACGTTGGGAGACTGTTGGGAAGTCATGATTGTGTTTTGAGATGTGAGAAGAAATGATATTTGGGATGGGTCAAGGGTGGAATGATACGGTTTGGCTCTGTGTCCCCACCCAAATCTCATGTCGAAATGTAATTCCCAATGTTGGGATAGGGACCTGATGGGAGGTAACTGGATCATGGGCGCAGATTTCCCTCTTGCTGTTCTTGTGATAGTGAGTGAATTCTCATTAGAATTGTTTGTTTAAAAGTGTGTAGCACTTCCCTCTTCGCTCTTTCTCTCTCTCTCTCCTGCTTTGCCATGGTAAAGCATATTGGCTTCCCCTTCACCTTTTTTATGATTGTATGTTTCCTGAGGCCTCCCAGCCACACTTCCTGCACCCCCTGCAGAACTATGAGTCTATTAAAAATCTTTTCTTCATAAATTACCCATTCTTAGGTAGTTATAATAGCAGTGTGAGAATGGACTAATACACTGTCATTCACAGCAAAAAGATTATTCACAAATTAATAGTCATTAATGGTAAATTCTGATTCAAACATTTGATTATACGATTATGTTATTCCATACTATTGCTAAATATTTTCAAAGATGTCATTTTTACAACCAACTGAAAAAATTGGGGCTACTAGAAAATCTCATAAAAATTCTTAAAGAGAATTTAAATATAATTATATATTATTTCTGATAACAGAAAGAATTGTACACTGTAGAGATCACACAAATCTGTGATGATTATATTATTAACTATAAATGCTGCCAAACAATAAAATAATTGCTTGAAAATACATTAACCTCTCCGCCAAAGCCAGATCTCCTTGAGATTGCTCCTCTTTGAGATTGCTCCTCTTTGAGGTTATGTGGGATAAACAGGTTTATTCTATATACAATATTTATAAGTAGGAGCATTTGGTTTCAAGTAAAAACAAGAGAGATGTGTCTCTTGAAATGGCTTAGATGGAGAAGAAATTTGGTACTGAGAATATAAAAAGGAAATATCATGAGTCTTGAGTAATAATTTTTTTAATAGAGCTTTGAGGAAAAGCTGATGAGAAATATGGATGTACAGAAGAATGACTCACAGCAGGAGTCCTGGGATAAAGTTACTTACCAGCAACCATCTGAACACTGGGGAAGAAGAAAGACAAATACTACGTGAAACTCCCTGCTCCTAATAGCTAAGTGCTTTGACATCTGAAGACATGGTAGAATCTGCAGTGGAGAGTTTTACCTTTCAGAAGGTACTAGGATATAATATATAAGAGAGGCAAGAGTCAATAATTTAAGCAAAATATGACTGTTGTTAACTTAGTTCACTATTTTTCTTCATGATTTTAGTGGATATAAAAATTTATAAAAAGTGGATATAGAAATTTTACTTTATTGCCCATTCCTATTTTCCCCAGAATGCCTTATATTATTTAAATCTTAGCAGGTTTATTTAAGAAAAACAACTCAGTGTGGCTTGAGAGGACAACAGGTGAGGGATATTATGATAATGCTACAAGGTTATATTACGGAACCCTATAATCCAAGGACAGGAATATTCCCAAGTCCAGGGTAAGATGGTGAGAGAAGCTGGAAAGCAATTAGGGACATGGATGCAGATATTTTTCTCCTCTTCCCATCCACCTGCTTCCTTCCTGTTTGCTCTTCAACACACCAGATTTCTACTCTGCTTTTCCATCCTCACAGTGGTGCATAGCTGCCCTATTTCTACCCAGGATATGTGTTAAATTTCTGACCACATGCAAAGACTAACTATGTGTTCTGAATCCCTGTTCTAAATTTGATGGACTTAATCATCAATATCTGGGAAAGGAGCATTACATAGTACATGAGTGGCTGTCAGTAGCACAACTCTAAGGGAGTGGGAAATTAAAAGCAAAGAAGGCCTGGGCAGACAACCCATAAATTCTCAATTCTCCATCAACAGGGCTTTTCAGCCACCTAATCCTTCATAATCCTTCTTAAAGCCTACTATAGCAGCCTCTCTTTACTTCCATATTCATATACTTTAAAATTTAACTATGAATTTATTTAGAAAACTAGTTTTGGAGAAGAAAATTATTAGTAGGATGTGCTTCACCTGAAGCAACAAAAAGTTTCAAATCATTGAGTTCAGGAAAAAAATGATCAAAACTGAAGATTTGTTTAAGTAATTTATCTTGAAAGACAAAGACTATAACAATGACACATTATTAAATATGTATGTTACGTTCACTTGACGCCATGATATTTTTTATGTGGCACATAAAAAATTGCATACTAGGCAATCAATTAAGGTTTATTAAAATGAATAAATTATGAATTGTGTTTTAATTTAACAGGTATTTTTAAGTATTTGTTATTAAAATTAGCTATTTATAATTAGTTTCTACAACATAAAATAAATTTTGAAAACTATTTGTAGTTACAGGAGAAAAGAGTTACCAGAATCTAAGGGTCTTTTCAACATTGCACCAATGTAAATTACTCATGTGCGTCATCTATCAAGACACAATTTCCATACTCAAATACTGTTTCTAACTTTGCATTAACAGGACAGAGCTGCATGGGCAGCTCCACTCAGGTTTTGCATAGCTAAAGACCTATGATTCTTTTAAAATTAACTTTTGTGAAGATTAATTTGTTTTGTTAAGATAAACCTTAACTTTAGAGCTACTACATAATTGACGATAATATACATTATACCTGAGAGGCTCCCTGTTTTCTAAAGGAAAATTATGATTCAATTAAATATTGCATATGCTTCATTAGATCTTAAAATGATCTTATTTAAATATTGAACATCTTTTAAGAATATTGAGATGGCAATTTCGCCACGATTAAAAATGCTATCTCCATTCTTAAAACTTTAATTTCAATCATTATCCTGTGGTTGTCTCTTCTCTCTTCAGGGAGCAGCTCAAAGTTTATGAACAACTTCTCAGATAAATCTGTGTATCTGTCAGGTCATTGTGTGGAACAGTCCTGCTTTAGTGAGTGTTCCTAATTGTCAGTGTTTTCACTTAAGTGAAAATATTCTATGGGCAACGGCATGAATACACCATTCATTCTATCATTGGCAATGTATATAAAGAAATAACCCATCATAAATATATGACTTTATATCTAAATTAAATGAATAATTTTATTCTGATTCCAGGACAATATTACTTGATAATGCTGATAATGACCAGTGTATCCCCAGCCTAAGGGAGCTTTTGAGATAAGCATAAGATACAAATAAATACATATTTTTCATTGTTTTGATCTCCATTTCTTAAGCTATTTGGGAGAAGAAAGGTTGCTTTATTTTTATTTCTTATTTCTTTCTAAAGAGAGAATTCTCTTTCCTTAGTGTCCTTTTCAAGCACCCTTCTTGTATTTTATATGAGGGCTCTCAAATGGAGGCAATCCTGATTATGTGCCTTTATGCACACATGGGCTCTAAACTGAGAATCTAAAGACAGCACTGTTGGTTCTGGAAATTTGATATGCCGGACTCCAATCTCTTTGAACTTTGATTTTTTTAATTTTAATGCAGAGATAATAATATTCACTCTCCTACCCTGTAGATCTGTGATCATTCCATAACAATATGCTTATAAGACAATCTGAAATATTAAAAGTGATTAAAGGAAAGAAATAGTTAAAGCAGCCAGACAGAAATAAATCCACTGGCTTTATTGTAGGGAAGTGCCAGGAGAAAATAAAATAAGGAAGGTAAACTGGACTAATTTTCTTGTCCGTAGGACCTCTGGGTAAATAGACTAATGATATTTGCTAGAAGGAAGAGAACTTGTTCCTGAAATGCCCATGGCAGAAGTTCCCGGATAAGGATTACCTCTAGTAAACAGAACACAAAGCCTGCGAGGAATGGCTCCCTGGAGAATGCCACATAGCCTACACAATTCTGGGGAAATAAAATGGAGATGTTACATAAATTAAATGCTCTCTACTGTGTAAGGATCCCTGCAAAGCTCACTTAGAGACTTTACCTATTTTGGGCCAAAGGTGCAGTCCCATACAGAAGGGAAATGCCTGGGAGAGGCTCTCAAAGTCCAGGCATCTCTCTGCTTCTGAGCTATTCGATTGCTTGTGTTCCTAAAATTAGTAAAGCTTGGTAGGTAAGATTTCTGATTTGTGTTGATTTGATATGACAGTAATAGCCTATGAGTTTGTTTAATATATGATAGTGCTGTGGTAGTAATATACATAGAATTATTTTCTTATATAATTGTAAGGATTTAAATTTTATATAAGCAGCATTTAAAATAAGTGGAAATTTGATCCAGTTTCAAATGTAAGGCTGTTATTGGGTTCCTTTAAGAAAACAGTTTATACTATCTTTCATCTGTTTTATTTCTAACATATCTTGCAAAAGTTCATGAAATTTGCCTTTCCTGATTTCCTGATTAAGATTATTTAGACTTTTATATTCTATTCTACCATCATTTTAGTGGAGATTATGGTGGGTTAGAATCTGCAAAAAGAGGTATGTAGAGGTAAACATATAATCTTAGTTCACCATTTTGAATTAAATAATTTGATTCCATTTTATTGTCCAGAAAATGAAAGCTCAGAGAAATTCTAAAACACTTAAAGTAAAATATATAACAAGTTTTGGAGCCTGTAGTTTGATAAATTAAAAGAGTGAAGGGCCATGATAGCGAAAATATTTTTACAAACAATGACTATTTGATATTTTAAGAGAAAAGTCTAAGATAATAATAACAATATTTACCCTTTCTGTATTTCTTAACTACATGCTAAGAATGATTCCATGCTCTTTACATATACCATCTCATTTATTCAACACAACTGCCTTATGATGTGATGTTATTACTATTCCCATCTTTCAGATGAGGAATTGTGGCACTAAGAGATTATCAGCACAGATTCATATAACTAGAAAAATGACAGAGAAGGAATTAGAATCCAGGAAATCTGGCTGCTGAACTGGTGCCCTTTACCTATATGTTAAATTGATTACTTATTACAAGATTGAAATGAAATGACCTATATTTTCATGAAATGCATTTCTCAAATATTTGATTCATTAATAGCCATTTATTTCTTTTCATCTTTAGGTAGTCTTATATTTAACTGTAAATGGGATGCCTCTGGCAAGGTACTGAGTGTGAATTGTCAGCTGGAGAAACTCTGATAGCCAGAATTTGAAAGCATTAACTCCCAAAGTAAGCTATGCACCCAATTCTCTCTATTGACAATAATTTATCCAGTGTGTACGCAGGGACACAAGGTACAGAGAGCATTGTGATGGGGACAGGATGGTGAGTTCTTCAGAATGACAGAACGTAATAGATTTTGTAGATCTCTTAGGGCTAAGACCACTGATGGCACTGCCCTTATGTTACAGCTATTGATGAAGGAAGAGATCATGGGACATGATTAGAGATGACATAGAAGTTGGAAATAGGTCTGTTATTCTATCATCTATGTATGTATGTATGTATGTATGTATCTATCCATCTACCTACCTGTCATCTATCTATCTATCTATCTGATCCATCATCTCTGAAATTTGTGTTGATAGTCTGACAGTATGGCTAGTTCCCATCCTGTTTGGCCCACTACCACTTAGTTAATCAACAAAAAGGAAACCTATGTGAAAATGGCAAGAACAGTTTTTGGCATAAACTATCTCAGAGTTTTCTTTTGTCTTTTTGGAATTTTCTCCTACCTTCCATTTTTTTTCTGGATCAGAAACTGATTAATAAAAAAAGGGAGAAGGAAAGCCCAGTTAGGGTTATGGGGCAAGAATTCCTTTTCCAAGTAGCAAAATATGAATATCACACTAGCTTATCACCATTATATGTGGTGCTTTAATCTGATGCTGATCATAATGTCATTGTGCAATGCCAATCAACATTGGATCGCTTCACTTCCCTGATTGAACACTTGTGAATGTGTCAGTTCTAAAGAAGAGACAGCCTCTGAGAAACATCATCCGTGGAAATCATGTTTGAGTGAAACAGTCCTATTTGTATGCAAGTGAAGAGGTAGGTACAGCTGGAGAATGAAATATAAGCTTTTTACTGCTCAGCAAATATTTGAAAGGGATTACTAGAAACAGAGAAAGGGAGGCATAAGGATATCAGACATTAGAATGATTGAAATGAGTGATTTTTTTTTTACTTTGAATTTTCAATTACACTACACCCATAACCTTGGTGTTAGCACATCTCATGTCATAAGGAGCAAACGAACTACAATGAGATTTAGTTTGGGTTTCAAACTCTGCATTCAACACCTTGCCATTATAGAACTTTAGGTTATATTTTTAATAAATTGATAGATTGAATAATTGGTAAATTACTAAATCCAAAAAAGACCTTTGACCTTTTTGCCTGTTACTTAAGAAATTTTTGACATGGGAAAAGCAATTTTATCAGAAGAAATGTAGCAGAATGCTCAAACTTAGTCATTAGAATTTGGAGCAATATGTGTCTGGATGCTATCCTTAGGCAAGCACCAATTACTCTGGCTCTATCCTGGATGACCCGAGGGGCCTGTAGCCTCCTCACTTTGTATGTTCCAAGCTGAATTCCTAGGAGAACACAATGTAACTGAGTATTTTAGAGCTTGTTGTCTGATTAAGGACAGTAGCTGGAAAGTTCTATATAGAACATCTGCCCCATTTATTCCTTTTCCCCTCCTCTTTCTCCTTTTCTTCATCCTTCTTTTTCTTTATCCTCCTTCTCTCATGGATCCTTCTATATAAATCTGACTATTTGTTAACTAGATGCAGAAGACACCTCCCCAAAAGTTATTTCCTTTCGGTGTGTTCAGGTATTTACATAAATGACTTATATTCAAAGACTGAACTCTCTGTACCCTGTAAATCAGACTGTTCCCTTCCAATTTTTAGAACAACTATTTACACGTAAAAAAGTACAAAATAATTTTCATATATATTTTTGGTTGACTCTATTAGGATTTTTATAGTTTAATCCTTTTTAAATTTTTTTTAATTTTGTCAGTATACATATTTTATTGTAATGTGTAAAAGCTTTATTTTTTATTGTAAATAAATTACATAAAACTTATCATTTTAACATTTTTAAGTGTACAAGTCAGCAGCCAAAAGCATATTCACAATGTTTTTGTTTCAACTTGTATTTTAGATATAGGAGTACATGTACAGATTTATTACATGGGAATATTGTGTGATGCTGAAGTTTGGAGTATGGATCTTATCACTCAGGTAATGAGCATGCTACCCAATAGGTAGTTTTTTAACCCAACCTCACCTCCTTGACCCTCTAGTAGTCCACAATGTCTATTGTTCCCATATTTATGTCCATGTGTACTTGATCTTTTGCTCCTACTTATAAGAAAGAACATGTGGTATTTGACTTTTCTGTTCCTGCGTTAATTTGCTTAAGATTCTGTCCTCCCAGGTGGATCACCTGAGGTCTGGTGTTTGAGATGAGCCTGGCCAACATGGCAAAACCCTGTCTCTACTAAAAATACACACACACACACACAAATTAGCCAGGTGTGGTGGTGCACACTTGTAATCCCAGGTACTTGGGAGGCTGAGGCAGAAGAATTGCTTGAACCCAGGATGCAGAGGTTGCAGTGAGCTGAGATCGTGCCATGGCACTCCAGCCTGGGCAACAGAGCAAGACTCCATCTCAAAAAAGAAAAATAATAATTATGTCCTCCAGCTTTATACATGTTGCTGCAAAGGGCATGATTTCATCCATTTTAAATGGCTGTGTAGTATTCTATGGTATATATTTACCATTTTTTTTAATTCAGTCTACCACTGATGGACATCTGGGTTGACTCTATGTGTTTGCTGTTGTGAACAGTGCGGCAATGAGCATATGAATACATGTGTCTTTTTGTAGAACAATTTATTTTCTTTTGGGTATATACCCAGTAATGGAATTGTGAGGTTGAATGATAGTTCTGTTTTAAGTCCTTTGAGAATCTCCAAGCTGCTTTTCACAATGGCTTAAATAATTTACCTTCCAACCAACAGTGTATAAGCATTCTCTTTTCTCTGCAGCCTTGCCAGCATTTGTTTTTTTTTTTTTGACTTTTTAGTAATAGCCATTCTGACTGATGTGAGATCACATCTCATTGTGGTTTTGATTTGCATTTCTCTGATGATTAGTGATGTTAAGCATTGTTCATACATTGATGGGCCACTTGCATGTCCTCCTTTGAGAAATGTCTGTTCATGTTTTTTGCCCATTTTTTAATGGGGTTGTTTTTGCTTATTGATTTGTTTAAGTTCCCTATAGATTCTGGTTATTAGGCTCTTTTTTTTTTAATCCCTAGCTGTGGATATTTTCTCCCATTCTGTAGGTTGTCTGTTTGCTGTCTTGATAGTTTTTATTTTTTTTCTTTTTTTGCTGCGCAGAACTCTTTAGGTTAATTAAGTCCCACTTGCTGACTTTTGTTTTTGTTACTTTGCTTTTTGAGGACTTAGCCAAAAGTCCTTTCCCCAGGCCAGTGTCAAGAGGAGTATTTTCTAGGTTGTCTTCCATGGATTTTTATAGGTTGAGGTCTCACATTTAAATCTTTAATCCATTTTGAGTTAATTTTTGTATAGGGTAAAAAGTAGGGGCCCAGCTTCAATCTTCTGCATATGGCTAGCCACTTATCCCGGCACCATTTATTGAGTAGGGCGTCCTTTCCCCATTGCTTGTTTTTGTTGGCCTTGTCAAAGATCAGATGGTTGTAAGTCTGCAGCTTTATTTCTGAGTTTTCTGTTCTGTTCCTTTGGTCTATGTGTTTGTTTTCGTACCAGTACCAAGCTGTTTTAGTTGGCATGGCTTTATAGTATAGTTTGAAGTTGGGTAGTGTGATGCCTCCAGTTTTGTCTATTCAGGCTCCTTTTCGGTTCTATATGAATTTTAGAACAGTTTTTTTTTTCTAATTCTGTGCAGAATGACATTGGTAGTTTGATAGGAATAACACTGAATCGGTAAATTGCTTTGGGCAGTATGGTCATTATTATTATATAGATTCTTCCTACACATGAGCATGGAATGCTTTTCCATTTATTTGTGTCATCCCTGATTTCTTTCTTTCAGCACTATTTTGTAGTTCTGTAGAGATCTTTTACCTCCTTGGTTGGCTGTATTCCTAGGTATTTCATTTTGTTTGTGGCTATTGTAAGTGGGATTGTGTTCTTTATTACACTCACAGCCTGAATTTTTTATTTTCTATTGTATATATTTAACATATACAACACAATGCTTTGATATACATCATCATAGTAAAATCATGACTACCATCAAGCAAATTAACATATCCATCACTTCACATAACTCCCTTTGTGTGTGTGGTAAAAGCACATAAAATCTACTCTCTTAGTAATTTTTCAGTACACGATACAATATTATTAACTAGCGTTCTCATGCTGTTCATTAGATCTCTAGATCTATCTTACATGATTGCAAATTTGTGTAGTGGCAGTCAATTCACTACATTTATTTAAATGGCGTTACTGTAATAAAGAATAAAAATTTATTTTATATCAAACATACAAATGCATATCAAACATACAAATGCATTAAAATTTAACTTTTTTGGTCTTTAAGGATTACTTTAAATGAAATCTAAATCTTTCCTTTATAATGCAGCTAGAAGATGGGGAAGTCACAGAATGACACGAGGGGATGTGGTAAGTCTTTACTGAGTCCTACACAAAAGTACATGCTAGGATCTGCCATAGAGATGACTCATAATTCTCTAAGCATTTCATATACTTCGTCTGTATTTTTATTTCCTCTGTGTGGAATAAGTGCTCACTTGGTAAACTTCTACTCATTCTCCAATAGCAAGAATAAACATTATCCAATTTTCTAACCCCAAGAAAAATGAAGAGCATCTTTTTCAATTATCCCACAGCATTTTTATGCCACTTAAATGTTGGTTACTTATTGAATACTAGTTATTATTGTACAAGCCACTCATGTACAATTTATAGTTCAGCCTTCCCCACAGAGTAGCAGGTAATAAACAAGTGAGATAATATATGAATAATAGGAATAGATTTCACTATTGACAAAGTATAGATTATCATTTTTCAGTAAATCTTTTATATCTGAGAAAATGGGGCTTTTTAATTTAAATCCATGCTTTATCTAAGTATCCTGATATATTATGAATCCAAATATCCTAAAAGCTAAGAATCATTAGTTTTCATAGGTTTTTTTCCAAAAAAAAATTTATTGAGATATAACTTACATACTATAAAAGTAACTCCTCTAATATATACAATTCAGTGGTTTTTAGTATATTCCCAAAGTTGAGCAATCATTACCACTCCCTAACTCCAGGTAATTAGGAATTTTAATAGATCTTGGATGATTCATATTAATCATCCAAAAAAATAAATTTAGTACTCATTAGTAGCCACTGTGTTTCCTCCATTCCCCAGACTCCAGCAATCACTAATTTTTGTCTCTATGCACTTGCCTATTCCATACATATCATATAAATGGAACCATATAATATTTGGCCTTTTGTGTCTGACTTCTTTCATTTATGATAATGCTTTTGAAGTTCATCCATGCAATAGCATGAATCAGTACTGTATTTCTTTTTATGGCTAAAAATTTTGTATATATATATATATTCCACATTTGGTTTATTCATTCATCAGCTGTTGGACATTTGAACTTTTTCCATTTTTTGGCCATTATGACTAATACTGCAGTGAACATCCACGTACAAGTTTTTGTGTGGATGTATGTTTTCAATCCTTGGAGTGGATTTCATGAAATGTTTACTCTCAGAATAAACAGGGATTAAATGATATTTGGTATTTTTTGATACAAGTTTATGAAAATATATAAACTTAACAACATATAATTCTTTCTATTAAAAAGATGCTGAAAATTAAAGTTGATCTTAATTAAACTGTACTAGCATGGGATTTTGAACATAGTCCAAAGATTTCTGCATACTGAGCAGATCAATGAAAATACATCTTCCCTAGCTATTTGTAAAAAAGATGATACCTCAAATATACTGAAATATATAAAGAGAAAAAATAATTATCTTAACAGGATATACTTCTATGTTAAAATACAGAAAGTAAATATTCATTCAAACATTTATTGATTTCATATTATATATGAGACATATATAGGTAGAGAGTAATTAAAGGTTAACGAGATAGAATCCTTGTTCTTAAGGAGCTTAAAGTCTAAGTGAAGATAAATTATTAAAACAAGCAGTAGATGTATAGTGTGTTCAGCTGGTACAAACACAGAGCTGTAAAATTCAGAGGAGAGAGCTTATACTTTAACTTGCAATGACTAAATGCAGAATGAAGTTATAATTGTATATTAGTGGGTAGTACCAACATAAGGTAGTTGGCAGTGACCAGTAGATATGTGGGATAGAGATCAGAGTGGGAGTCACATACAACAGTCGTTTTTATGTAAAGGAAATGAGCATCATAGTGGATGCAATCTTTAAGGAAGAGAAAAGAAAAGAAAATTAAATAACATCAAAAATGGAGCTTTTTGAGTACCTACAAATAGACTCTAGAAAGAGGAGGAGCAAGTAAGAAAAAGAGAAAAATTAGTCCAGGAAAGAATAAAATAGACAAAGACCCATGTTCCAGGAGAGCAATGACAGAGTTTTGAGTTTCAAGGCGAGAAAAAGGCAACACACGCATGCCTGCGTGCACACTCACACCCCCGCCACACACACACACACACACACACACACACACACACTTCCTTTTAAAATACATTACGCTTCTTATGAGCCAGAATTGTGCAAGGCATAAGGGAAAATACACAGGAAAGATAAAATCGGGCTTCCACACTCAAGGCAATTATGATTTAGGCCAGAATACATATAAAAACAAACATCAAGCAATATAAATTCCCATAAAATTTAGTACTAAATTATATGTAGGAACTACATGTGTTACAGAAGCATGGAGAATAAGATTAATGAGAATTGGTGTATTTAGGTAAAGTATATTAGTTAAGATTGTTTTCTTCAGTATTTAGTAGAAAGCTGACAAACTGACAAGTTTCTGTAATAAAATTATTTATCATAAGAACTCTATTTAGACAGGTCAGGGTTGGTTAAACAGCATGATTTTTAATAAAAATCTTCACAATTCTCTTGTTCTTTCTTTTTTGTTTACAAGATGGCTGGGGAAATGCATTCATTAAGTTCCACACTGTCTTTCTGTAAAAGAAGGAAACGTAGGAGCTGCATGCTTTTATAGTAAGAGAAAGAAATCTTCTCAGAAACTTAGCAGAGGACTTCTTCTGCCTCATTGGCCATGTCACATGGCACTCTTTGGAGCAAGGAAGCCTGTGACAGTAAACATCTGGCAAAGGGGATGCCATGTTTGGCTTTCACAAATCATAACCACCCACTGAGGCTGTAGGAGGGTCTTGCTTTCTTAGAGATTGGGGAATGCCTGCAAGGTTACCTAAACATAAAATGAGGAGTCTCTTAGTAGCGAGGAAAAGGTAGCCTTTGGGAATGGTATTTGCCTCAGAATGCTAAAGGGAATTCTGAACTTGGAAATTTGTTAAATGAATGATAAAATGGTGAGTATTTTAGGTGAAAGTATAGTATAATCAAAAGCCCCAGCCACCCATGCCTTGGAGATTGATAACACTTCTATCAGGAACTCCTAGTGTTTCTTATATTAGAACTGGCTCCTAAAAGAGATGTGAGAAGTGGCAATAACATTAAATCTCTTGTGAGCTCAGCTGCACTCAGTTAATTATCAACATTTTGGCAGAGACGCAGGGAGAGGAGAAGAAAAGGTAGCTGCTAAAATTGGAAAAGAAGAAACTAATTTATTTTTGCTCTTTTAACTTCTTCCTCTTTATAGCTAGTTATTACTCAAAAATATAAATTTGTAATAATATTACTAACATGTGAGTGTCATAGTGTGGAAAACAACAAATATGTATCAATTCTCTTCTTGGAAGAAAATGCATGAGTAAGCCCGTAACATCTATTTTCTGCTCATAGGACACATTTTTTTTTTAACCTTATGACACTAAATGATACTGGAATATAAGACTTTGTGCAGAGACCAATCCATTCTCATAAAAATATCTCATTGAAGTACATCAACAAAGTTATCAAAAGTTCAAGTAGATAATTCAGTTTGAGACTTAGGACAATGCTCAATGCAGGGAAGCATGTTAAAGAACATATTTTAAAAAGGATTACATGACCTTAGCCTGAAATAGGCATAACCTTAAATAAAGTAGTGTGTTTAGATGAGTTTTACTCAAAGTTTGTGCATATCTAAATTTTTTTTAAACCACACATGCATTCTAAATATAAAGTAAATAAAAATAAATGCAAATATAAGTCAATATTTTCTACATGGCTCCCTTGGGTATATGCACACATGTTGGAGTACATTGGTCTAAACACAAAACAACTTGCAGCTTGTTTAGTATTACCATATGGTCAATAGGATCCTTGATCACCAAGTGATCTCTCCCTCTTTTAATTTGCAATAACACTTTTATACATGTTTCATATACCACTTAGAACTGTTAATTATTTGCATAATTGGTTCATCCCTTTATTAAACTATATATTTCTTTGGTGTAGTCCCTGAACTCTTAGCTGCATCCTCTCCAGAAATCTTATTCTTTCTTTCTCTATTTATATCTCTATTTTTATATACAATCTATCTTTATTGAAAAATAATTGACAAAAATTATATATCTTTAACATAATCTTTTGACATATGTATACATTGTGAAATTATCACAATGAACCTAATTAATATATCAATCACCTCACATAGTTGCTATTGTGTGTGTGAATATGTGTGTGTGTGTGAGAGAGAGAGAGAAACACTTAAGACCCACCCTCTTAGCAAATTTCAAGTACACAATACAATATTGTTAGCTATACTCACACTGTTGTACATTAGATCTCCAGTACTTATTCACCTTGCATAACTGAAACTTCTATCCTTTGAGGAACTTCTCATTTCCTCCTAACCCTTCTCTATTTCACTTTGAAACACAATTATTTATTTGCATGATTATTTCCCTACTGTGCTCCAAAATCTTTGGAGCATTTTATCTGTGTAATATCTGTCTTTAGTATATACCGGCTGCCATAAGAATTACCTGCAGCTTTGGAAAAAAAAATGATGCAGAGGCCCCATCCAGAACAATCAAATCATAGTTTAGGATAGTTTCTTACACACTATAAGTTGTTCATCATATTTGAAAAATGAAAGAATAAATTAAAGTTGGCTTTCTTGTTCTTTTTCCAGTATCATATTTTCCTGTGATTTCTATTATTGTATCAGAAGAATGGATGATAAATTATCACTATGAGAAAACTTATAATGTACAGAGCATTTTATAGCATTGATATACACATTATTATTTCTTTCATACCAATTTTGCAGGTTTTTTGACCTATGAACTGAATGTATACAATTTATACTTTAAAATTTTTGTAAAATGTTGCTTTAAAGCTGATAAAATAAATATCCCTTACAAATATATATGAAGAAAACAAAAATAAATATAGCATTTGAATACATGTTTGAGATAGATGAAATGTATATATAGTGATGAAGGTACTAGATGTACAATATGTATGTCAAGAAACTACCTGCCTTGGAATACAAACTACAAATAATTAAATGCATCAATACTGCATTATGACATTTATACAAATAACATTTTGGTTATTATTTTGTGTTAATTCATATGGAGACAATAGTATGTGAGGAAAAGAAAAATGTACATTGTTTTCTTCTCATGAGGAAGAACGCTTATTCTGTTAAGGAAGCATTTTCTCTACTCCATTTATGTAGCCTTAATTTTTCCACTTTACTATCATTTTCTATAAAAAAGTAACTATATTTTTGAAAGGAATCTCTTAGTATATATTCAATATAAGTGTATCTGCCATTTTTATTCAAAATTTACAAAATATAATTCAGGTAGGGAGGAGCCAAGATGGCTGAATAGGAACAACTCCGGTCTACAGCTCCCAGCTTGAGTGATGCAGAAGACAGGTGATTTCTGCATTTCCATCTGAGGTACCGGGTTCATCTCACTAGGGAGTGCCAGACAGTGGGCACAGGTCAGTGGGTGCAGCGCACCGAGCGAGAGCCAAAGCAGGGTGAGGCACTGCCTCACTCAGGAAGTGCAAGGGGTCAGGGAGTTCCCTTTCCTAGTCAAAGAAAGGGGTGACAGACAGCACCTGGAAAATTGGGTCACTCCCACCCGAATACTGCGCTTTTCCGACGGGCTTAAAAAACAGCGCATCAGGAGATTATATCCCGCACCTGGCTCGGAGGGTCCTACGCCCACAGAGTCTCGCTGATTGCTAGCACAGCAGTCTGAGATCAAACTGCAAGGTGGCAGTGAGGCTGGGGGAGGGGTGCCCGCCATTGCCCAGGCTTGCTTAGGTAAACAAAGCAGCTGGGAAGCTCGAACTGGGTGTAGCCCACCACAGCTCAAGGAGGCCTGCCTGCCTCTGTAGGCTCCAACTCTGGGGGCAGGGCACAGACAAACAAACAGACAGCAGTAACCTCTGCAGACTTAAATGTCCCTGTCTGACAGCTTTGAAGAGAGCAGTGGTTCTCCCAGCACGCAGCTGGAGATCTGAGAACGGGCAGACTGCCTCCTCAAGTGGGTCCCTGACCCCGACCACCGAGCAGCCTAACTGGGAGGCATCCCCCAGTAGGGGCAGACTAACACCTCACACGGCCGGGTGCTACTCTGAGACAAAACTTCCAGAGGAACGATCAGACAGCAGCATTCACAGTTCATGAAAAACTGCTGTTCTGCAGCCATCGCTGCTGATAGCCAGGCAAACAGGGTCTGGAGTGGACCTCTAGCAAACTCCAACAGACCTGCAGCTGAGGGTCCTGTCTGTTAGAAGGAAAACTAACAAACAGAAAGGACATCCACACCAAAAACCCATCTGTACATCACCATCATCAAAGACCAAAAGTAGAAAAAACCACAAAGATGGGGAAAAAACAGAGCAGAAAAACTGGAAACTCTAAAAAGCAGAGAGCCTTTCCTCCTCCAAAGGAACGCAGTTCCTCACCAGCAATGGAACAAAGCTGGACGGAGAATGACTTTGATGAACTGAGAGAAGAAGGCTTCAGATGATCAAACTACTCCAAGCTACAGGAGGAAATTCAAACTAAAGGCAAAGAAGTTGAAAACTTTGAAAAAAATTTAGATGAATGATAACTAGAATAACCAATACAGAGAAGTCCTTAAAGGAGCTGATGGAGCTGAAAGCCAAGGCTTGAGAACTACGTGAAGAATGCAGAAGCCTCAGGAGCTGATGCGATCAAGTGGAAGAAAGGGTATCAGCGATGGAAGATGAAATGAATGAAATGAAGCAAGAAGGGAAGTTTAGAGAAAAAAGAATAAAAAGAAATGAGCAAAGCCTCCAAGAAATATGGGACTATGTGAAAAGACCAAATCTACATCTGATTGGTGTACCTGAAAGTGATGGAGAGAATGGAACCAAGATAGAAAATACTCTGCAGGATATTATCCAGGAGAACTTCCCCAATCTAGCAAGGCAGGCCAACATTCAGAGTCAGGAAATACAGAGAACGCCACAAAGATACTCCTCGAGAAGAGCAACTCCAAGACACATAATTGTCAGATTCACCAAAGTTGAAATGAAGGAAAAAATGTTAAGGGCAGCCAGAGAGAAAGGTTGGGTTACCCACAAAGGGAAGCCCATCAGACTAACAGCGGATCTCTCGGCAGAAACTCTACAAGCCAGAAGAGAGTGGGGGCCAATATTCAACATTCTTAAAGAAAAGAATTTTCAACCTAGAATTTCATATCCAGCCAAACTAAGCTTCATAAGTGAAGGAGAAATAAAATACTTTACAGACAAGCAAATGCTGAGAGATTTTGTCACCACCAGGCCTGCCCTAAAAGAGCTCCTAAAGGAAGCACTAAACATGGAAATGAACAACTGGTACCAGCCACTGCAAAATCATGCCAAAATGTAAACACCATCGAGACTAGGAAGAAACTGCATCAACTAATGAGCACAATAACCAGCTAACATCATAATGACAGGATCAAAATCACACATAACAATATTAACTTTAAATGTAAATGGACTAAATTCTCCAATTAAAAGACACAGACTGGCAAATTGGATAAAGAGTCAAGACCCATCAGTGTGCTGTATTCAGGAAACCCATCTCATGTGCAGAGACACACATAGGCTCAAAATAAAAGGATGGAGGAAGATCTAGAAAGCAAATGGAAAACAAAAAAAGGCAGGGGTTGCAATCCTAGTCTCTGATAAAACAGACTTTAAACCAACAAAGATCAAGACACAAAGAAGGCCATTACATAATGGTAAAGGGATCAATTCAACAAGAAGAGCTAACTATCCTAAATATATATGCACCCAATACAGGAGCACCCAGATTCATAAAGCAAGTCCTGAGTGACCTACAAAGAGACTTGGACTCCCACACATTAATAATGGGAGACTTTAACACCCCACTGTCAACGTTAGACAGATCAACAAGACAGAAAGTTAACAAGGATACCAAGGAATTGAACTCAGCTCTGCACCAAGCGGACCTAATAGACATCTACAGAACTCTCCACCCCAAATCAACAGAATATACATTTTTTTCAGCACCACACCACACCTATTCCAAAATTGACCACATAGTTGGAAGTAAAGCTCTCATCAGCAAATGTAAAAGAACAGAAATTATAACAAACCATCTCTCAGACCACAGTGCAATCAAACTAGAACTCAGGATTAAGAAACTCACTAAAAACTGCTCAACTACATGGAAACTGAACAACCTGCTCCTGAATGACTACTGGGTACATAACGAAATGAAGGCAGAAATAAAGATGTTCTTTGAAGCCGACGAGAACAAAGACACAACATACCAGAATCTCTGGGACACATTCAAAGCAGTGTGTAGAGGGAAACTTGTAGCACTAAATGCCCACAAGCGAAAGCAGGAAAGATCCAAAATTGACACCCTAACATCACAATTAAAAGAACTAGAAAACCGAGAGCAAAAGCTATTCATTCAAAAGCTAGCAGAAGGCAAGAAATAACTAAAATCAGAGCAGAACTGAAGGAAATAGAGGCACAAAAACCCTTCCAAAAATTAACGAATCCAGCAGCTGGTTTTTTGAAAGGATCAACAACATTGATAGACCACTAGCAAGACTAATAAAGAAACAAAGAGAGAAGAATCAAATAGACGCAATAAAAAATGATAAAGGGGATATCACCACCGATCCCACAGAAATACAAACTACCATCAGAGATTACTACAAACACCTCTATGCAAATAAACTAGAAAATCTAGAAGAAATGGATAAATTCCTTGACACATACACTCTCCCAAGATTAAACCAGGAAGAAGTTGAATCTCTGAATAGACCAATAACAGGAGCTGAAATTGTGGCAATAATCAATAGCTTACCAACCAAAAAGAGTCCAGGACCAGATGGATTCACAGCCGAATTCTACCAGAGGTACCAGGAGGAACTGGTACCATTCCTTCTGAAACTATTCCAATCAGTAGAAAAAGAGGGAATCCACCCTAACTCATTTTATGAGGACAGCATCATCCTGCTACCAAAGCTTGGCAGAGACACAACCAAAAAAGAGAATTTTAGACCAATATCCTTGATGAACATTGATACAAAAATCCTCAATACAATACTGGCAAACCGAATCCAGCAGCACATCAAAAAGCTTATCCACCATGATCAAGTGGGCTTCATCCCTGGAATGGAAGGCTGGTTCAATATACGCAAATCAATAAATGTAATCCAGCATATAAACAGAACCAAAGACAAAAACCACATGATTATCTCAATAGATGCAGAAAAGGCCTTTGACAAAATTTAACAACCCTTCATGCTAAAAATTCTCAATAAATTAGGTATTGATGGGACGTGTCTCAAAATAACAAGAGTGATCTATGACAAACCCACAGCCAATATCATACTGAATGCGCAAAAACTGGGAGCATTCCTTTTGAAAACTGGCACAAGACAGGGATGCCCTCTCTCAGCACTCCTATTCAACATAGTGTTGGAAGTTCTGGCCAGGGCAATTAGGCAGGAGAAGGAAATAAAAGGTATTCAATTAGGAAAAGAGGAAGTCAAATTGTCCCTGTTTGCAGATGACATGATTGTATATCTAGAAAACCCCATTGTTTCAGCCCAAAATCTCCTTAAGCTGATAAGCAACTTCAGCAAAGTCTCAGGATACAAAATCAATGTACAAAAATCACAAGCATCTTATACACCAATAACAGACAAACAGAGAGCCAAATCATGAGTGAACTCCCATTCACAATTGCTTCAAAGAGAATAAAATACCTAGGAATCCAACTTACAAGGGACATGAAGGACCTCTTCAAGGAGAACTACAAACCACTGCTCAAGGAAATAAAAGAGGATACAAACAAATGGAAGAACATTCCATGCTCATGGGTAGGAAGAATCAATATCGTGAAAATGGCCATACTGCCCAAAGTAATTTACAGATTCAATGCCATCCCCATCAAGCTACCAATGACTTTCTTCACAGAATTGGAAAAAACTACTTTAAAGTTCATATGGAACCAAAAAAGAGCCTGCATTGCCAAGTCAATCCTAAGCCAAAAGAACAAAGCCAGAGGCATCACACTACCTGACTTCAAACTATACTTCAAGGCTACAGTAACCAAAACAGCATGGTACTGGTACCAAAACAGAGATACAGATCAATGGAACAGAACAGAGCCCTCAGATATAACGCCGTATATCTTCAACTATCTGATCTTTGACAAACCTGAGAAAAACAAGCAATCGTGAAAGGATTCCCTATTTAATAAATGGTGCTGGGAAAACTGGATAGACATATGGAGAAAGCTGCAACTGGATCCCTTCCTTACACCTCATACAAAAATCAATTCAAGATGGATTAAAGACCTAAACGTTAGACCTAAAACCATAAAAACCCTAGAAGAAAACCTAGGCAATAGCATTCAGGACATAGGCATGGGCAAGGAATTCATGTCTAAAACACCAAAAGCAATGGCAACAAAAGCCAAAATTGACAAATGGGATCTAATTAAACTAAAGAGCTTCTGCACAGCAAAAGAAACTACCATCAGAGTGAACAGGCAACCTACAGAAAGGGAGAAAATTTTCGCAACCTACTCATCTGACAAAGGGCTAATATCCAGAATCTACAATGAACTCAAACAAATTTACAAGAAAAAAACAAACAACCCCATCAAAAAGTGGGCAAAGGACATGAACAGACACTTCTCAAAAGAAGACATTTATGCAGCCAAAAAACACATGAAAAAATGCTCACCATCACTGGCCATCAGAGAAATGCAAATCAAAACCACAATGAGATATCATCTCACACCAGTTAGAATGGCGATCATTAACAAGTCAGGAAACAACAGGTGCTGGAGAGGATGTGGAGAAATAGGAACACTTTTACACTGTTGGTGGGACTGGAAACTAGTTCAACCATTGTGGAAGTCAGTGTGGCTATTCCTCAGGGATCTAGAACTAGAAATACCATTTGACCCAGCCATCCCATTACTGGGTATATACCCAAAGGACTATAAGTCATGCTGCTATAAAGACACATGCACACGTATGTTTATTGTGGCACTATTCACAGTAGCAAAGACTTGGAACCAAGCCAAATGTCCAACAATGATAGACTCGATTAGGAAAATGTGGCACATATATACCATGGAATACTATGCAGCCATAAAAAATGATGAGTTCATGTCCTTTGTAGGGACATGGATGAAATTGGAAATCATCATTCTCAGTAAACCATCGCAAGAACAAAAAACCAAACACCTCATATTCTCACTCATAGGTGGGAATTGAACGATGAGAACACATGGACACAGGAAGGGGAACATGACACTCTGGGGACTGTTGTGGGGTGGGGGGAGGGGGGAGGGATAGCATTGGGAGATAAACCTAATGTTAGATGATGAGTTAGTGGGTGCACCGCACCAGCATGTCACATGTATACATATGTAACCTGCACATTGTGCACATGTACCCTAAAACTTAAAGTATAATAATAATAAAAATATATATATATAATTCAGGTTATATGGTGATTATAAACACTATGAAAGGGAAACAACCTTAAAAAGAAGATCAACATCTTTTTAGAAATAAAAACCCAAAAGGTTTTAGCCCAGCTTAATGTAATAATCTTTTCAAATTTGATTTTTGTGAATTGAACAAAGTTGATCAGTATTTTTTTTAATTGAAAGAAAACTAAAACTACCAATTGTAGGAAAACATTAAGCAGAGACACATTACCAGTTCAAAATGGTGTTGTCTCAACTGAGTAAAAATGCTGCATGCAATGAAAATCCTCAGTAATTCAAAGTAGAGCCAGTTAATAGAAATAAAATTATTAGCTTTATGGCAAGTTTTAAAACTTTTAACTGTTGATTTTTTAATAGAAGTATAAAATGAAAATATTTTTATAGACCAATATTTAACTGGTTCTTGTTGAGGATATTCTGGTAGTTGCTAAGGGATTAACACTGAATTTATTATTAATTTGCCTCTATAGTTCAAGGAGTATGCCTGCCGATACTGGAACTAAGTTTGGATAGAAAACAATAAATAATAAATAACAATAATAATTTGCATTTCTCTAACATCCTCTAGCTGTGGAAGTCAAAGTGGTTCACAATCATTAATTAAGCTTCATGAGGTTCCAGCAAGGGAGGCAAATAATGTGGTCCACATGGGAAACACAAAAAACTTAAAATTTGAGTAACTAGGTGAGGTTCCCATATAAGTTAATTACAGATTTAGACATATTGCCTATGGTCTCTCGCATCCACAAATCCCTTTTCAACTTTTGATTACATCTTTCTTTTTTTTTTTATATTGAGATTCCCACATTTAAGAGAAAAAATTCTCTAACCATATTTAGCTGTCAAAAATCACTGAGCTACAAATTTGGGAACTTAGCATTCTTGAAATTTTATTTTGTATGTAATGTGCGACATACCAGTTTCCATGGCTACTGAAAAGTATGCCATTATTCCCTACTCTGTAAATGATTGGCTCTGAACTCAAAAGAGAACCAACACTCAAAAAAAATAGATTAATCATGTTTTTCATGTTACTATTGCCAATGAGCTCTGCACTTGTGAAGGGGTTGAAATGAACAGAAACACAAACTAAAATTTAAAAAGCCAAGGAGATATTTAACAGTCTAAATTTTAATTTATTGGATGACTCTGCCAACATATATTTCATATGTTTCATACATTTCATATTCAGGTACTAAGTGCTAGTCTTCTGAGCTGGTCAAATATAAATATGTAAATGAGTAATTTATTTTTACTTATTTTGGGGCGAGAGATAGTCCTTAGTTAAGACACCACCTTTAAATTTTTTTAATCATGGGTGTTGAATTTATCCTTAAATGGGGAATTAGTGTGACTAAGAGTAAGGAGGAATTACAGTTGAAGTGAGAAATGTGGTTACTTTTGATTTTGCAATTTGGTCCCTGCTGATACATTCTATAATGTCAAATAAGCACCTGAACATAACAAAAAAAACTCTAAAAATGTCAAAATCGTTAGACATTTATGTTTATTTATGTTTTAGTGTTTTATAGCTAGGCTAAGTAAGCTAACTCAATTAGAGCATGATTGCTAAATGGGCTGACTTATTTATCCCAATACAATATTCTATTCTAAAACTGAGATCAACTTAAGCCCAGCCACCTGCATTTGGTATGAAATATTTGGTAAATGAGAGCCTGAATAAGTGTGTGAGGTGCTTTGAAAAGACAGTTCTCGCAGTTGTGTAAACGTAATTTAGGCTGGTCTAGCCATCTTTCTATATCTGAAATGCCTGTATTTTCTTCAGGGTAGAAAATTATGATCATAGATAAATGAAAGTTACAATTTTAAGGTTTTTACCAAAAGGCAAAAAATGAATGGGATAGTGGAAGACTGATAATGCTTATTATCAAGGCAGAGTCAAAATGATACAAAATTTAGTACTGAAATGGGTGAAAAGAGCAGCAGATAGTTTAAAGAAGCAAAAGTAAAGGAAGTTAGCAAAAAGTTAGAGAGAGTTCAAGACAGTTTCCATATGCCCATTCCATTAAGTCTTCAGCTCTTAGGCTAATGATAGACTCCTAAAATATTTCAGGGAAAAAACAGCTTCTGAGACTTCTGACACTTTTTTCTTCTAATACATACTAAATAAATATAAATTAAATTAAAACAAAATACATGAATAAATTAGAAATGTCTTGAGTTGCTTAAAAACTTTGAAAACAGCAGACCTGAATTCTTATGTTTTATTCATTCTAATTGTCACTGGTGGCAAATATACCAGAGGATTCTCTGGATAATTTCTCCAATAATAAACAAGGAAACAGACCAATATTCTCACAATGCCAACATACACACAAACACAAATATCCTCACAGATTTAATACTTCATGCATATCTAATTAAGAATCAACATAGCTAAATAAATATCTGTCAAATAAATTGTACAATATTTATAATTACCTATGATTTCAAAAGATGTAATATTTTCTAAATGGATTTTAGCTCTAACATATATAATGTTTCCTCCAAAATAAATCTCTAATTTTTGTAGACATCAGTGAACATGCGTTTCCAAGGAATATTTAATTAAAGCTGAATAGTGTTCCCTAAGCGGCAATGGGTAATGTCATTGATCTCACTTAAGTTCCAGTTTGAAATTCACACGGTTTTTATTCTGGTGTAAACCTTTGTATACCTGTTTCAGCAATGAACATACTGAAGTAGTTAGAATATATTTCATCACGTATTATCACATAACTTAAATTGGTAAACTAATTCAATATTGTTGAAATTCAAGAAATGCTGCAAATAAAGCACAATTTTCTTTTTTCTATTGAGATTTAATTGACAAATATAAATTTTATACAGTTAAGGTGTACAATGTAATATTTTAATATGCAAACACATTGTGAAATGTTACCCAACTCAAGGTAATTAACATATCAATCACATCACATAAGTATGTGTGTGATGATTAATACTGAGTGCCAACTTGATTGGATTGAAGGATGCAAAGTGTTGTTCCTGGTTGTGTCTGTGATGGTGTTGCCAAAGAAGCTTAACATTTGAGTCAGTGGACTGGGAAAGGCAGACTCACCCTCAATCTGGGTGAGCACAATCTAATCAGCTTCCAGCAAGGCTAGAACAAAAGCAGACAGAAGAAAAGCCTACATCTTTCTCCCATGCTGGATGCTTCCTGCCCTTGAACATCAGACTTCAAGTTCTTCAGCTTTGGGATTCAGACTGGCTTCCTTGCTCCTCAGCTTGCCCATTGGCCTATTGTGAGAACTTGTGATCAGGTTAGTTAACACTCCTTAATAAATTTTATATATACATCTATCCTATTAGTTCTATCCCTCTAGAGAACCCTGACTAATACAATGTGTGTGGTGAGAACAATAAGATCTAATGTCTTAGCAAATTTCACGTTCACAATACAGCATTACAAACTGTAGTCGCCATGTCATATAATAGATTACTGGAAATGATTCATCTTATAACTGAAAGTTTGCACCTTTTGACCAATATCTCCCCATGTCCTCACCCGCTGGCCCCTATCAACCACCATTCCCTCTCTGCTTCTGTGAATTCAACTTTTTAGATTCCATGTATAGGTGAGATCATGCAGTATTTGTCTTTCTGTGCCTGGCTTTTTCACTTAGCGTGATGTCCTCTAGGTTCATCAATGTTGCAAATAGCAGGACTTCTTTCTTTCTTTTTTCTTTTATTGCTTTGCATATGTTGCAAAATGCTTACAATAAACATTTAATATTTTATTGTGTGTGTATGTACATGTGTGCCTGTTTGTATTCCACATGCATTTTTTTCTTATCCATTTATTTGTTGATAGCCATTTAGATTGTTTCCATATTTCATCTCTTGTAAATATTGCTGTAATGAACATGGAGGTGCAGGTATCTCTTTAAGATACTGATTTCATTTCCTTTGAATATATATTCAGTAGTGGGATTGCTTAATTATATTGTTCAGTTTTAATTTTCTGAGGATTTTGCATACAGTTTTTTATTATAGTTGGACACCAAGGGTTGTGTTTTCTCCGCAACCTTGCCAACACTTATATTAAAAAAAAAAACCGTTTACTTTTGGTCTAAGGGTACATGTACAGGTTTGTTATATAGAGAAACTCATATCATGGAGATTTGTTGTATAGATTATTTCATCACCCAGGTAAAAAGCTTGGTATCCAATAGTTATTTTTTTCTGATTCTCTCCCTCTTTCCACCCTCTACCTTCAAGTAAGCCCCAGTGTCTGTTGTTCCACAACTTTGTGTCCATGTGTTCTCATCATTTAGCTCCCACTAAACACGTGGTATTTGGTTTTCTGTTCCTGCATTAGTTTGCTAAGGATAATAGCCTCCAGCTCCATCATGTCCCTGCAATGGACATGATCTTGTTCTTTGTTATGGCTGTATAGTATTCCATGGTGTAAATGTATGACATTTTCTTTACCCAATCTGCCACTGATGAGCATTTAGGTTGATTCCATGTCTTTGCTATTGTGAATAGTGTTGCAATGCATATACATGTACATGTGTCTTTATAGTAGAATGATTTATATTTTTTTGTGTATATACTCAGTAATGGGATTGCTAGGTCAAATAATACTTCCGTTTTTAGCTCTTTGAGGAATAGCCACTGCTTTCCACAATGGTTGAACTAATTTACACTCTCACCAACAGTGTATAAGCACTTCCTTTTTTCCCCAACTTTGCCAGCATCTGTTATTTTTTGACTTTTTAAAAATAGCCATTCTTACTGATGTGAGATGGTATCTAATTGTGGTTTTGACTTACATTTCTCTAATGATCTGTGATATTGAGCCCTTTAAATATGTTTGTTGGTTGCATGCATGTCTTCTTTTGAAATTTGTATGTTCGTATTGTTTGCCCACTTTTTAATGGGATTGTTTGTTTTTTCTTATAAATTTAAGTTCCTTGTGGATACTGCATACTAGACCTTTGTTAGATGCATGGTTTGCAAAACTTTTCTCCCATTCTGTAGATTGTCTGTTTAGTCTGTTGATAGTTTCTTTTGCTGTGCAGAAGCTCTTTAGTTTAATTAGATCCCATTTGTCAATTTTTGCTTTTGTTGCAATTGCTTTTGGTGTCTTGATTGTGAAATCTTTCTCACTTATTTTGTTTTTATCTTTTTGTTAACAGTCTACTAACCGTGAGGCAATATCTCATTATGGTTTTGATTTGCATTTCCTTGATTGTTGGTGATTTTGAGCACTTTTTCATATACCTGTTAACCCATTAGCTTCTTTTGAAATATGTTTATTTAGTTCCTTTTCCCATTTGTTAATTGGGTTATTTGTTTTTTTGCTATCAACTTGAAGAGTTTCCTATATATCTTGGACATTAACCCTTATCAGATATATGGTTTGAAAATATTCTCTCCCATTCCATAGGTTGCCTTTTTATTTTATTCATGGTTTCCTTTTCCATACAGAAGATTTTTTAGTTTGATGTAGTCTGCTCATTTATTTTTGCTTTTGCTGCCCATGATTTTGGTGTCATATCCAAGAAAATGATTTCCAAAACCAATATGTCCAGGAGCTTTTTCCTTATGTTTTCTTCTAAGAATTTTTATGGTTTTACAGTTTCAGGTCTTACACTGAAGTCTTTAATCCATTTTGAGTTAATTTTTTTGTGTGTGTATAAAATAGGGATCCAGTTTCTTTTTTCTTTTTTTTTTTTTTGCATATGGATATCCAGTGTTTTCAACACCATTTATTGAAGAGACTATCATTTTTCCAATGTGTATTCTTTGGGTCCTTGTCAAAGATTAGTTAGTTGTGTATGCATGGGTTTACTTCTGGGCTATCCAGTCTGTTCCATTGGACTGAGTGTCTGTTTTTATTCTGGTACCTTACTGTTTTTATTACTATAATTTTATAATTAAATTTGAAATCAGGAATTGCAATGTCTTTTGTTTTTTCTTCTTTACTAAGATTGCACTGACTATTTGGAGTCTTTTGTAGTTCTATAGGAATTTTAGAATTATTTTCTCTATTTCTGTGAAAAATGCCATAGGAATTTTGATAGGGATTGCATAATATGGGCACTTTCCCATTATTAATTCTTCCAATGCCAAAACATGTGACAGCTTCTCAAGTGTTTATGTCTCTTAACTTTTTTCATCAATGTGCTCTAGTTTTTAGGTGTAGGTCTTTCACATCCTTGGTTATATTTATTTCTCAGTATTTTTTTTCTTTTTGATGCTATCATAAATGAAATTGTTATCCTCATTTCTTTTTCAGATAGTTTATAGTTAATATATAGAAACAATTAAATTTTATATGTTAATTTTGTGTCCTAAGAGTTTGCTAAATTCATTTATTCACTCCAATAGTTTTTTGTTGTAGTCCTTACAGTTTTCTACATATAGGACCATGTTACTTGTTAACAGAAATAATTTTACTTCTTTTCCAGTTTGGATGCATTTTATTTATGGGCTTGTAATATGCAGCATTTAATATGTTGAGGTACTTTCCTTCTATATCTAGTTTACTGAGAAAGTGTTTATTATGAAAGGAGGTTGATTTTTGTGAATTGCTTTTTATGAATCTAATGAGATGATCTTGTGGTTTTTATTCTGTATTCTATTAATGTGGCATATCACATTTATTGTTTTGCATATGTTGAACTATCCTTACATGCCAATGATAAATTGGTTATAATTATTTTAATGTGCTGTTGACTTTGGCTTGCTAGTATTTTCCTTACAATTTTTGCTATGTTCATCCTTGTTCATTGGCTTATAATTTTATTTTCTTGTAGTGTCTTTAACTGGCTTTTGTATATGGTAATGCTGGACTAATAAAATGAATTTGGAAATTTTCTCTCTTCTTCAGTTTTTTGAAAGAGTTTGAGAAGGATTGATATTAATTCATCTTTAAATATTTATTAGAATTCACTTATGAAGCCATCTGTTCCTGGTCTTTTCTTTTCGGAAGTTTTGTTAATTACTGCATCAATCTCCTTATTATTGATCTGTTTACATTTTCTATTTATTCATGATTCAATCTTGTAGGCAGTTATCCATTTATTTTAGCTTATCCAATTTGTTGACATATAATTATTTACAGTAGTCTGTAATGATCCTTTCTATTTCTGTGGTATCAATTGTAATGTCTGCGCTTTCATTTATTTGAGTTCTCTTTATCTTTTTCTTAGACTAAAGATTTGTTTATTCTGTTTATTTTTTCAAACAATGATTTCTTGATCATTTCTATTGTCTTTCTAGTCTTTATTTAATTTTATTTCTACTCTAATTGTTATTATTTTCATAGTTTTGCTACCTGTCAACTTAGTTTGTTCATCTTTTTTTTTAGTTCCTTGAGGTGTGATATTAGGTTGTTTAAGATCTTTCTTTTTTCTTAACAGAGGCATTTATCACCATGAACTTCCACATAGAGCTGCTTTTGCAATATTCCATAAGCTTTTATATATTGGTTTCCAATTTTGTTTGTCTCAGTATATTATTTTATTTCCTTTTCAGTTGTTTCTTTGACTCATCGGTTATTCAGGAGAGTATTGTTTTGTGAATTTTCTAATATTATCACCTTATCGATTTTTAGTTATAACATGGTGGTCAGAAAAGATACTCAATATGATTTCAGTCTTCTTAAATATGCTACGGTTTGTTTGTGGTCAAATGTATATTCTATCCTGGGGAATGTTCTGTGTGTGCATGAAAAGGATGTCTTTTCTGCTGCTATTGGATGGAATGTTCTCTATATGTCTGTCAAATCCATTTGATCCATATTGTTCAAGTCTATTGCTTACTTATTGGTTTTCGGTCTGGATATTCTATCTATTGGTGAAAGTGGAGTATTGAGTCTCTTGCTATTATTACATTGCTGTGTATTTCTTCCTTCAGTTTTGTTAATATTTGCTTTGTATATTTGGTTGCTCCCATATTGGGTGCATATATATGTGTGTGTGTATATATATATATATGTGTGTGTATATATATATATATATATATATATATGTGTGTGTGTGTATATATATATATATATATAAAACTGTGATATCTTCTTTATGAATTGATCATTTTGTTTTCATATAGTGACCTTTTTTGTCTCTTGTGACACATTTTGACTAAAAGCCCATTTTGTCTGATATAAGTATAGCCACCCCTGCTCTCTTTGGTTACCATTTGCATGGACTGTCTTTTTCCATCTCTTCTCTTTTTGAACTGTGTGTGTTCTTAAAGCTAAAGTGAGCTTCCGGTAGGCAGCATATTGTTGGATCTTGTTTATTTGATTTATTCTGCCACTTTATATCTTTTGGTTGGACAGTTTAATTCATTATATTTAAAGTAATTATGGATAGGTAAGACATTGGTATTTGTAAGGTATCATTAAGGTAGGTAAGGGAAAGGTATTGTCATTTTATTCATTGTTTTCTATTTTATTTTTTATTTGTAATTCATTTGTTCATTTCTTCCTCCTTTGCTGTCTACCTTTGTTATTTACTGACTTTTTAGTGGTATATTTTGATGTCTATCTCTTTGTCTTATGTATATCTACTACTAGTGTTTTTTTTGTATGGGGGGGAGGTTAGCACCTTCCTTCTATATCTAATTTACTGAGAGTGTTTATTATGAAAGGAGGCTGAGTTTCATCAAATGCTTTCTATGAATCTAATGAGATGATTTTGTGGTTTTTATTCACATTCTATTAATTTGGTGTATCACATTTATTGTTTTGCATATGTTGCAAGAGGCTTACATTGAACATTTTATAGTTTTAACAGTCAATTTTAGGCTAATACAATAAACACTATTCAAAAACTCTACACTTTCACCCCTTCCCCACATTTTTATGTCACTGCTGTCACATTTTACATATTTTATATTGTATATTTGTTAACAAATTACTGTAGCTATATTTTAATACCTTTGGCCTTAAACTTTTATAGTATAATTAAAAGTAATTTACACATTATCATTACTGCATTAGAGTATTAGAGTATTCTGAATTTGATTTTATATTTACTTTCACCAGAAATTTTTGTATTTTCAAGTTTCATGTTACTTAACATCCTTTTGTTTCAATTTGATGAACTCCCTTCTTCATTTCCTATATGGCAGGTCTACTGGTGATGAACTTTCTCAGCTTCCATTTATCTATATTTCTGAAGGGCAATTTTGTTGGTAATAGTATTCTGGTTTGAAATAGTTTTTTTTTTCACCACTATGAATATATCATCCCACTCACTCCTGGCTTGCACAGTATCTTCTGATAGTCTTACTGAGGTTTCCTTGGATGTGCTTATCACTTGCTGCTTTCCAAATTCTCTTTCTTTGATTTTGAATTTTGATTATATTGCACTTTCGAGTAATCTTCAGGGTGATTTTACTTGATATCCTTTGAACTTCATGAATCTGGATATCTGTATCTCTTGCAAGATTTGGGAAGTGTTCAGCCATTATTCTTTAAGCAAGCTTTCCTCCCTTTTATCTTTTTTTCTACTGCTGAAAACCCCATAATGTGTATATCTGTTTTTTTGATGGTATTCCATATGGCCTGTAATCTCTCTTGACACTTTTTCTTTTTTCTTCCTATTTGTCTAACTGGCTAATTTCAAATGACCTGTCTTTGAGTTCGCTGTTTCTTCTGCATGACCGTCTGCTGCTGAAGCTCTCTGTTACGCTTTTTGGTTCATTCAGTGCATTCTTCAGCTCTGAAATTTCTGTTTGGTTCTTTATCATCATTTCTGTTTCTTTATTAAACTTCTATTTTTTTTCATAGATTGTTTTTCTAATTTCACTTAGTAATGAAATTTTAATTTATTTTTAGAAGGGTACTATTTATTTTAGAAGTGATTATTTAGCAGTGTATTATTAAATTTATATAAATTTGGAATATTCCTAGATATATGATATTTATTTCCATTTTAATAATACTGTGTTGAAAGAACATACTCTTTATGTTTTGGGTCTTTTTAAAATTGATTGAGACTTTTATTATTTTAATTTATTTTAATTCCTAATCAGACAATTCATTGATCTCTAGTTGTCCAGATTTGATAGCTGAAGTTTTCTTAGTTTCCTTTGGTGGTGTAATGTTTGCCTGATTCATTGTAATCTATGCAGTCTTGTATTGTTGTCTCTGCATTTGAAGAGATAATACCTCTTCCAGTCTCTATAGAATAGTTTTTGCATGTATATACCATCTCCTGCTGAATCCGTGAATTGATAGGATTGCTTCTAATATTACAATTGAATGAAATTAAAGCCATATTATGTGGCTGTTGCTGGTTCTGCAGTGGGGTTTACAGTTGATGAGCCTGTTACCAGAGGCTAAAGTGGTCATAAGTCCTATCTGGATGCCTCTAGGACCTGGATCAGTAGAGTTGGCACTGAGAGAACAGTCTACTTCAGGATCTACAGTGAGGTCTGCAAATGGTGAGCCTGTTACAAGGTGTACAAATAGGTGTGGTTCCTGCTGTGTCCCTGAGAAGATTCCCATCAGATCACTAGGTGTGTCTCTAAGCAGGCAGGACCTGCCTTGGATCATAGCTGAGCAGTCCCGAATTGAACCACAGGGCTGCTTTCAGGCCCACCTAGGTCTGCAGGGATGCATATGGTAGTACTGATGGGTATGCCTCCCTCCAAGTCCCCAGGGAGGCAGGACCACTCCCCGACTATGGCTGATTGGGGCTGGAGCCTGATTATAGGATCACGTCAAGATAAAAAGTTGGACCGGAGTCAGTGGGTCTGCCTTTAGGGGCATGGATGGATATGTTCCCATCAGGTTCTTGGTCAGGCAGGACTTCTGGGAAGGTCTAGATCCAGGTTACAGGACCTCTTTAAGATCTGCAGTCAGATCAATGCTAGCAGATCTGCCTATAGGAGCATTAGTGGATATTACTCCTGCGTTCCCTGGCAGATAGTGCTGGTAGCAGGACCAAGGCCAAATGGGGCTTTCGCTGAGTCTGCTCTAAGACAGGGCTGTTTCAGGGTTTGTAGCTGGGGCCATAATTAGTGAGGCTGCCACTAAGGCATGGGCCTGTGTTCTCAAAATGGTCCTTCCTGGTCTTGGGCTCTACTGGGGTTTCATAAGTTATAACTGGATTCCGAAGTTCCCATGAAGAAAATTTTTCCATGAATCACTGCCAAATTATTGTTACTATGGAGGGAATATGAGTGGAAAAACTATTTGCCATCTTGCTGACCCCAAACTCAATGTCATAATGATTTATATTGCCTTTTTTATTTTACCTTTGTGATTATTTAGAAGTATATTATTAAATCGGTATAAAATTGGAATGTTCCTAGATATATGATATTTATTTCAAATTTAATTATACTATGTTCACAGAACATACTCTGTATGATTTGGGTCTTCTTAAAATTTATTGAGACCTTTATTATGGTCTACAATATAGTCTATCTTGGTAAATAAACTGTGCATCTGAAAAAAAAAACTTCATTTTGTAGTTGGTGGATTATAATTTTGAAAATATCAATTATGTATGTCATGATGATGTTTGGAAATGATTTAAATACTAGAAGTCTTTTGATTTTGTCTAGTTTTTCTAACAATTATTGAGAAATGTATGTGAAATTTTATATTATGATTGGCTGGTTGATGACTTCTTTAATTTTTGTAATAAACTTTATTTCTTAGAATAGTTTTAAATTTATAGAGAAATAGTGGTGATAATGCAGTTTCATATACTCTACATCTAGTTTCTCCTATTATTGATATCTTAATTTAGTATGATATATTATTAGAAACTAATAAATATTGATACATTAATATTAAAGTTATATTCAGATTTTCTTTGTTTTTACCTATTTTTTTTGTGTGTTCCAGAATGCCATCCAGGATACCAAGTGTCATTTAGATATTATTTTTCCTTATGCTCCTCTGGCCTGTGACATATTCTCAGACTTTCCTTATTTGTGATGACATTGAGAGTTTTAAGAAATATTGGCTGGGTGCAGTGGCTCACATCTGTAATTGCAGAAATGGGAGGCCAAGGCAGGCAGATTACTTGAGGCCAGGAATTTGAAACCAGCCTGGCAAACATGGCAAAACCCCGTCTCTACTAACAAAATACAAAAATTAGCCAGGTGTGTTGGCACATGCCTATAATGACAATAACAGCTACTTGGGAGGCTGAGGCATGAGGATCCCCTGAGCCCAGGAGGTAGAGGTTGCAGAGAGTGGAGATCACATCACTTCACTCCTGCCTGGGTGGCAGCAAGGTTGTGTCTCCAAAAAAAAAAAAAAAAAAAAAAAAAAAGAAATATTAGAAATATTAGTCAGGTATTTATAGATCATCAATTTTGATTTGTTTTTAAGATATTTTAGATTCTTAGACATTTTATATATTTATATACATATGTATGTGTATGTATATATACATGTATTCATATGTATGTATGTATGTGCATGTGTGTATGTATATTCATAGTCCTAAATTTAAAAAGTATAAGTTTCCTAGGGAAAAAAACAGGAAATAAAAACCATGTGAAATTGGGTAGGTAATAGTGTCTCATAGAGAAGATGAAAATATGAACCATAAAAGGCTCTGGGTCCCCTAATTTGTTCCAGGCTCCTCTCTCCCAGCCCTCTGGCCTGAAAGAAAGCATGTTTTATTTCAGAATTTTAGCATCTCTTGCCTTCTTTGCTGTGACTGCAGCTTTTTGTAGAGTGAAGCTGCAAAATACTAGGGTAGAGCATCACTCTGTACTTACTATAAGTTCCAGATTTCCTTCTTTTACTCTGTACTTACTATAAGTTCCATTATTTTCATGAAAAATACTAAACATTTTCCTTCCCTTTACATTGTAAGACTCATCAATCCCATTTCCCTAACAAAGATTAACGACAAATATGTAGTTTTTAATTTGAAATATCCCTCATGGAAGAAATTACTTTGAAATGTTTAACTAATTCAGTGTGTAATTTTCTTTTCCACCTCCTGTTAATGAAGTCAGTTTCAAAATGTTTCTTAAAAGTCACAACTCACAACCCAAAACTAACTTTCAGCTTATTTATCTGTTTTCCCATTCTTGATTTATGTTACCTTCTGTTTTTACTACTGATCAGCTTAATTTTGTTTCTTCTCAATTTTTGGCCAAACAAAATCTGTTTTTGCTTGTATGTGTTCATTTGTAATTAGCATACATAAGTCCTATCTAGAAAAATTACACTTTATAATAATTGGAAAATTTTCTTTTTTGATAGAAAAAAACAAACAAGGAACCTTTGTTCACTTGGTAGAGGATTCTTGATTTCATTTTGTCAGCAATTTATGACAAATTAACTCTAATGTCAAAACGAATGTGAGGTCAGTAATGAAGGCCTTGCACCAGGATGCTTACATTTGCTTTCACTGATATTTAAGCTTTTCCAGACCATGCTTTTGTAAAAATCATGCTTAGAAATATTGGGATCACATTGTTATGATAATTTCAGCATTGTACTTTTCAAATGAATATGGAATGTCTGCTAACACTCCTATAGTAGCTACTCTTTACAGTGAAACAATACAGTTTAATGAATTTTAGTCCCAACTCACTGAAACACCAAATTATAATCAATTAAAATAATATAGGAGTATATGCATTTTGAAAATAAAAACTGTTTTTAAGCAACTGAAGAAATGTTCAGGCACAATTACTGAATGAATGCTATGACAAAAAAGTTGGTATTTTGGCTACAGATCTTCCAACTTTTTTTAAGTGTTAATGACTGCCTTATCTGGATTAGTATCAAATAATGTATTCAAGCTTAATCAGAACATGATAGAAACCTTTAATCTTACCTAACTGAATAAAGGTTGAAAATGAGCAGATAATATAAATGGTACCTACCAGGAAAAGTTTCCTTCAATAATATCACTTATCTGAGTTGTCTGCTCATTACCTATGAAATAACATTAAGTTGAATGTCCAATATGAAAATGGGACAAATGTTTAAATCATAGAAACATAATGTTTAAATCACAGAAATCAAATAGAGCTTTGTCTTCTGAGTTATGAGTCTTACTATCATTGATCATGTCTCATTTCTCATACACCATTATGAACTCTTAGAGTATGTGCCATTAAGGTGATTTAAGTTAGAGAGTTCAACGAGAGAATACTCAAGCTATAACAAACTATGCTTTGCACTGTTTACCTGTAAATGCATGAAAAAAGTAAGTTATAAAGCAATTCCAGTTTCTCATGATTCTCTAAATTCTCTGTGAAGTCATGAAATTTTTTCAAGGGATTTGTTTTCTTTATGCTTGCCTCTTAAATACCAATATTATCTGGAACACATTCTTGTCCCTCTTCATCCACTTCTGTAATAATCCATCTTCCAAATTTCATCTATAAAAAGGCTTCAATTAATGCCAATGTATCTATTTTCTGAGTAACAGACTCTATTTCTGATTGCCCACAGGCTTTTCCACCTCCATGGACTGTAGATATCTCAAGATTATCAAATCAACTTGGCCTCATTTTTTCTCTTCCTATACAACTGAAGCCAGCATCTAGTCCTCCTGATTATCCTATTTTAGTGACTGTCACCAAAATTCTTCCTGTTACTCAATTGTCAACCTTGAAGTTATCCTTGACTTTTTCTTCTCCTTCATATCCAACTAGTAACAAATTATCTTACTTTTATCGCTTAGATATCTCTGAATTATCTCCCCTTTTTCCTGTTTCCACTACCATTGTCTTAATTCAGTTTTTTAGCCTCCATCACCTGGATTATTGCAACTTAAAGGAATCAGGAACTGTGCCAGTTCATTCATTATATACTAAATATTCATGGAGCACCAACTCTGTTTCAGATTCTGAACAAAGTCTGAGAATAAAATAATGAAACCAACCCTATATCTATCTTCAAGATGACAGCTCTGCATGTGAAAACAATAATTATGATTTACTGTTCATGGAATAGAAACCAGGCACTTTATATTTAGCATCACCAAACATCACAATGATTCTACAGGGTAGGCAGTATTATAAATCTCTTTCTCAAGGGAGTTTAAATAACGTTCTCTGTTTTAGAGATAACATTCAAACTGTTGTCTGGCTCCAGTGCTTTTTGCTTTTCCACTACACCTCTCAAGTTCAATTTGCAATGCCTGCCTATGCCTTTGTAATTCTGAATAAACCATTCAGGCAGCCTGGCATAATTTTCATCTCACTGGTCAACTCACAAACTCTAATTTGTCCTACAAAGCTCAGCCTATGTGTCATGTGCTTTAATTAGCCTTCCATGATTGCACCAGGAAAATTTATATACATTCTTCTAAGTGTGCCCTGGCAATCTGAGCTTGTACCTAGAAGAGAAGATATCACACTATATTCCAATTTTGTTCTTGTTTGTCTCACTCTTAATACTGTGAACTCTAGGAAGGCAGAGGCATTTGCACACTTAATCCTATATTCCTCTCAGTGAGTATGGAGTAGATCTTTAATGAATTATTCCAGCAGAGTTGGAGTCAAGTGAAGCTGTTCTGAAATTCCATTAATCTGATTTTTGCCCACTCTATTGTTTCTTTCTGATCTCATCTCCTGCCCCCTTTTCCTCACCTCACCCCATCCAGCCACATTGGCTCTGTCATTCTTTTTCAAACATGCCAAACTCACTCCTGCCTCACTTGTGGTCACAATACTGGCTTTCTGCACTGCCTAGAATAAGTTTCCCCCATTTTTTGATATATTTTTCTTCATCACTCATTCAGGATCTGTTCACATGTTGCCTTACCAGGAAAACTTTCCTGAAAACCCTATATATCACATCACACTCATGTCTGTCTCTTATTCCTATCTTGCTGTAATTTTATTCTAACAATTTGTTATCATCTGGCTTGGAGCGGATTTATTTTTTTGTTTGTTTTATTCTCTGCCTTTCCAACTAGAATGTAAGCCCCACTAAGCAGAGGCTTTGACTGTTTTGTCCACAGCTTATCTCTAAAGTCTAGAATAGTGTCTTGCACATCGCTAGCCCTCAGTAATATTTGTTCAATTAGTGTTGAATAAACATGCAAGATAGGCAGCGAATATATGTTGTACCATTCATATTTTATATAAAATGCCCCACTGCCTTTATCTGTTGACATTATGGTGCTGTCATATGTTCAGTTACCCTTTACAGATATTCCAGCATTTGCTTTCCCTGTTACGTTCACTCACATTCCACAAGAGTCCTCCTAGAGGTGTAAACTCAGCTGTGAAGTCCAAGAAAACTTTCCTTCAAGACCAAATGTGTGTAACTTATGAGCCAAATGTTACTCAAAAGACTGATTTAGTAGGAATTTTACAGGAAATGAAATGTCAGTAAAGGCCACTGAGGAAACAGCTGAAGGCAAAGTCACAAATGTCTCTCACATTAGCCAGATATCATAACAGAAGTAGCATTTCCTTAAGAGAAGGGAAACATGGAAGGAAGACCTTTAAGCCTTATGCTACTTTCTGTTTTTGCTTATCTTCCTACAAATATTGGTCTCAGACTGTAGGTCTAAAGTCCTTTAAGTGCAAACTTTCTGTCATTCCAAGGATATCTGCATGTTTTCCTCTACGTGTATGACTGAAGCTTTCATATCTTCTTTAATGAAATAACTTTGTAATTCTAAATACTATAGCATTTATTATCTGCAATCAGACCAATGCAATCATAAACAGCCATTGTGCTTTTTGTTACATTTTAGCATGTGTCTTATTTACTTCACTAGATTGTGAACTCCAGGGGCAAAAAAAAAAAAAAATATATATATATATATATATACTGACTGTCTAACAAACACGGGGATCCTGCTGTGCCCCATGTGCCTCATGTGTTTTTACTTGGTTCCTAATTCTACATGTGGCATAGAAGAGTGGGCAGAAGAGTTTATGATATAAGCTTGGGTTTACAATATATTGTTCAGGGAAAACCCACATATTACTGTTTTTAGAGGAAATATTTATAATAAAACATTTATTAGTTAATTCACCCATCACACTTAACAAGTACATAAAATTCTCAGATTACATCCTTCAATATTTTCTTGATTGTAAACAAGATTTCATGATCCATCATTTGTTTAAAATTATTTTTCAAGTCATAAAATTATTCAGAGTTGCCATAACTGGAAGTCATCTGTTCAGTTTCACAAAACAGCTTTTCCACTAACCTTTCCGGGAAAACCAACCCTAACCTGGACTAGCCCTAAACAAGGGTCCTCTGGCACAAAATCACCTACTATTTGAAAAGTGTCTCACCCCTAATTCTTCTGCAAGTGCAGGCCTCTAATAATCATATGGATAATCATCAACAAAATTCTTCACATTTTAGGCACTATTATCCATGGATTACTGAAACGTAAATTGGAAATTAATTATAGATTCTCATGTTTCTTTTGTTGGCTTTGTTAGATCAACTAAAGAGATGGGTTACTACTTGGCAATGCCATTTTATTCACCCCACTACTGTTAGCAGCATGTTGATGAGGCTCTTTTTTTCAATTATAAAATGCAGGGTGAGATAAGAGAAGGCTGAAGAAGCCTCCTTGCAATAAAACAAATGCAACACATAAATTCTTTGTGATGGATATGGTGCTAAAAGCACAGATGAGTAGCCCACATCTATAATTCTATCTCAAATGTATCTCATGGTACAATGTAATGCTATGATGGAGAGACTTGAGGAGAGATAAATGACAGAGATGGAGGAGACAGAACTGGCCTTTTGTCTATGACAACTTCTCCTGGAGTAGGGTTCATTTGAGGAGGCTTTCCTCTAAAATGCAGCACCTACTCTTTGCAGCCAGAGCTGGAAAGCGCTGATCAAGCTGGGTTGAAAGCATGCATACTGGCTGCTTTATTCATATTCTTGAAAATGCTATTCATTTTACTCTCCACAGGCAATAAATTTGCTCTACTTGATTTATAAAGAAAATGTGAGTGGCTGAAAATGCATGCATACTAAAAAAGAACTGAGTAAAATTAACTTTTTTTTCTAATTTCCAAAAATCTTTTTACATGGCATAAAAAATGCCTTGGAAATCTATGTTGTTTGTCAAGGGTGGAGGCAGTTTTTAAATGTTTCAAAACAGCTGTTTCCATCTTCTTTGTTAATAACAACAACAAAACACCATAATCATGGAGGCTTGATGAAACAGAGGCAAATCAGGTGAGAGTTATCATCACTCTTCGCTTCCTCCACTTACCCTTTCCTATTGTACATGCACACCTGGGTAAACTGGGGGAGTTGCTAGAGATGCCAAGCAAAGGTCTTAGTTGTAAATAACATGCAAATTGACCCCTCTCATTTTTTTACTCGCCACTACTCAATCACCCGTGATGGACTTGGAAATTGACATTGTTATGGAATCAGTTTTATGAACATTTAGGTGAAAGTAAGGAGATCTGGAAATGTACCCTGCATTTTCCAGACTTGCTCACCATTCTTTGTGTGATACCGGATTATGTCGGGAAGATAGTGTGTACTATAATGGCCATTTTTCATCCACGTTGAAAAAAATTTACATGTGTGGAAAATAGTATCACATAAGAAAAACATTTATGACAGCAACAACAACAAAATATTCCATAAGCCATGACATACCAAGAGTAGAGCAGTGGGGGTGGTCTACTATAGGTGCAAGCATTAAGGGAAGAGAGTGCATATTGAGAATTTGAAAAAAATAAAGCTAACTAAAATCAGTTTTCATTTTTAGCATGTTAACAGTTCTACACAATGCCACTGATAAAATCCTGCTCCTTCCTTCAAATAATTTGGAAGGGGTGGTAGTGTAAGTTCTAAATAATTGGTTATGCCCAGAATAGCCTGCTTCCACTGTCCACTGGTAAACCACTATTAAAAGGGTTGCATTGTTAGGTTACACTCTTGCTTTTCAACTTTGAAACTTTGATTGATTGAGGTTAGTGCTTTTCAAACTTCAAGATGCATACAAATCATGGGTGTTAATATGTAATTTCTGATTTAGTAAGTCTGCAGTGGAAACAAAATTCTGCCTTTCTAACAAGCTTTCAGAAAACATTCACTCGGAAGATTAGTGGAGCAACTACTTAACATTCTCAAAAAGCAATGAAATAAAATAAAGGTCCCAATATTTTCAGTTTCTCAACTTTTTGAATGGGAGCAAGGTATGTTATATTATTAGTTCCTCCAGGACAGATAATCTAATATTTTGCAATGGATTGTATTGTTATGAGATTTTTCTTCTGTTTTTGTCTTCTTCTTAGGTCTATATTTTAATGTTTAATATATTCATCCAAAATTGTGGTGCACGTACTATTCCAGACACTATTCTGGTCTCTGAGACTACATCAGTACACAAAAGTTATTTTATTCATTGCCCTTATAAAATGATATTTGTGTGTGTGTGTGTGTGTGTGTGTGTGTGTGTGTGTGTGTGAGATGAGGGGAGTACAAACAGCAAGGAAGAATTTAATAAAGTGAAAAGTATGTCACATTTTAGTGGGTGACAAATACTGTTTCATAATGCAAAGATACTTGGAAGAGTGGTTATAATTCCAATGCGGTAGTAGCTAAGCTGACATTTTAGCAAAAGCTAGAAAAAATGAAGGAAATGATCATAAGGCCTTCATCTGAGGCACACTCCATGAAGAGGTACTTTCCAGGACACAGGCCCCGAGGCAGGCATATATCTGGTATATTCCAAAACACGAAGAGCCCTGTACCTAGAGCAGAATGAAAAATTGGGAAAGAAAACGGATGAGATAAGAGCAATAATGTGAGGCCAGGTCTTTTATGGCCATTTAAGACTTTGTAAGAATTCTGACATTTACTCTGAGAAAAATGGAGAATAATTGGAAAGACTTTAGCTAAATAGTGACATGATCAAATACACATTTGAACAGGATCATTCTGGCTGCTCTTCAGGATGGACTACGGTGAACAGGTTTGTGCAGGAGATTATTACAATGATCCAGGCAAAAAGTGACTGCTTAAGAGGATTCTAATTTTGTTTGTGTATTTAAGAATGTTTTCTTTTAGCATTAATTTTTGTAACAGCAAAGATAATATTAAGGAGACATACTTTTTGCCATCTGAAGTAGGAGATGTAATTGAATGACAAGTCTTTGGAGATCTCATTGCCAGTGTTGAGAATAAGAAAATCAAAATCAAAATAAGGTGGTTTTTAAAATAAAGAGAACTATATACTAGTGCTATTAAAGAGTAGCACTTTATTATAGATGCAATTTTTAACCAGTAACATTTGCAACAAAAATGTTTTTATGACATTACATAAAACATTTTGAGTGTTCTTGTGTAGGATCTAGAAAGCTATTTGTATAACAGTGAAAATATGCTAAAGTAAAATTTAAATCCTCATTTTTAATCTTTAACTCTATTATAATATGGAAGTCACATCTCTTCTTTTTACCTTAGTTCCTTGTCTGCCACACAGGGTAAAATGATACGTGTGCTGTCTACACTGTTGCATGAAGGTGTAGTTTTAACAAAATATAAACAGACATAAATTACTCTGGGAAATTAGTAAGAATTTAAATGTAGTTATTGATATAGTTAATTGATAATATATATGATTCCAATCACTTTTAATTACATTTGTTTTTTCATTCCTTTAGTTTTTCCAATTTATTGAGCATCTGATATATGCCAGCGGTTGCATTGTGTGTATGGAAGTAAAAATAAATAAATACTAATTTATCCAAAGAACCAGCTGGTAAAGATAGACAACAAACAGGTAGTCATAATAATGCCAATGGTAATGTTAAGCCTGAGTGTGCTGATAGAACATGTAGTATTGATAATTGTAAAGTACAGCATCAAGGAAGACTTTTCTGTCTTGAAAGATAAATAAGATTCAGAATAGTAAATAAGGACGAGGTGTAGGGGAGTGACAATCAAGGCATTCTAGGCTGAACAAGTAGTCTGCACGGATGCATAAAGGCATGAAGAGGCCAGGATGATACACTGAAGTGCGAAGTTGGGGAGCATTTTGATGTCTATGAAACTGGAGAGGTAGGCAAAGGACAGTTTAATGGTCTTATGTGTCATTATAATAATGTTGGACTTCCTACTGAAAATAATTGAGAGACACTAGTGAGATGATGAGTGTGGATTGGGTGGTGTCTGTTATTACAGGCAGGAAGAACAGAAAGTTTTCTAAGACATTAAAACAAGTAATAGCTATAGCCTGAGTTTAAACCAATATGATGCATGTATAGAACAACACTGACTTTGAGAAAGGAGAATTTACAGGAGTTGAGGACTGGATGTGGAAAGTAGAGGAGATTGAGCATATCATATAGGAATATTTTTGTATGCAATTTACAGAAAATACAGCTTACATTTCTAAAAGAAATAAAGGTTTCTTCTTCCCACATAATCTACCCAGCAGTATGGATTGCTGAAGCTCTACTGTGTCATTTAGGGACCAAATTTCTGTAGTCTTCTGCTTCATGATCCCTGCTGTGCTTTTTTTTTTTTTTTTTTTTTTTTTTTTTGGCATCTGGCTCTGTCACCAGGCTGGAGTGCAATGGCATGATCTCGGCTCCACCTCCCAGGTTCAAGTGATTCTCCTGCCTCAGCTTCCCGAGTAGCTGGGACTACGGGCGTGTGCCACCACACCCAGTTAATTTTTGTATTTTTAGTAGAGACAGGGTTTCACCATGTTGGCCAGAATGGTCTTGATCTCTTGACCTTGTGATCCGCCCACCTCAGCCTCCCAAAGTGCTGGGATTACAGGTGTGAGCCACTGCGCAGCCTGTGCTTCCTTTTTGTTCTTGCTTATGGCCTTGTAATCACACGCTTGCTGTATTCTGTGCCTCACATCATCCTTTCAGGCAGGAAGAAGGAGGGAGAGGGAAGGTGGCACCTGGAAAATCCTTTTAAATCTCATTGACCATAACTATATCACATGATCAACCAATATAGAAAAGGACGCTGAGAAATCATGTAGTTTTAAAGTTTGTATAGCCCTTAGAAGAGAGACAGGAAAGACAGTGGAGAATTTGGATAAGTGATGCGATGTGCAAACTTATGGTGTCTGTCACAGACACAGGAAAATGGATAATAACTGAAATGGAAGCTTTGATGACATGTTAAGCATAGCAAGAATGATAAGTCTTAACATAATATAGAACCTGTCCTCCTCTGATGTAGAAGATGGTGATACGGGTGCAGATACAGTCTAAAGCAATTAAAGAAACCAAACAACACATTGTAATATCCAACTACATTGAGTATCTACAGTGTTTTGTTGTCTATTAGCTCTGTCACTGATTAGAAAAAGGAATTAATGCAGTGATAATTCCTGGTTCTATCCTTGTTTTTATCTCTTTCTCTATACTTATAGTAAAGGCATGCGCTCTTAGCATAGAATATAAGGTAATAGAATTTATCTTTACCTCATTACACATGTATAGATCATTCTTCTAATATATAGCACTTGACTTACAGGAAATCAACTCTATGCAAATTGTTGCATAAAGCACATAAAATGGATTTAGAGATGTGGAAATATTTGCATTATGTAAAGAAAACAAAGCCACAAAAGAATAACAAGTCGAATGCAGTGTGAATCATGTCCCCTGATGATATGTAGTGTGGTGGCTCTGAGCGCAACACACACAAAATGGCTTTTTCCCAGAGGAATAAGACCCTTGGTTTTAATCTCAAGAATTTCTTTGTTTCCTGTTGGCTCAGCTCATGTTGTTTAGTATTATTTGTGTTGTTCCTTTCTTTATTGCATGATAATTAGAATGAGAAATCTGCTCTAACACATAAAAATAGAGCATAGTATTTCTAATACAATGTTTTCAGATAGCCAGGAGTTATTCTAAAAATTTAGAACTTGTTCTAATTTTCGTAACATAAAAGTGTGCAGTGATGTTGCTTGTGCCCACACGTGTAGGGAGGCATGTTTCTGAAATGCACATCTCTGAGAATGTCTCCCAGTCACTCTCATATGTAACAAATGTTGCTTTTTTTTCCAGCATTAAGGAATACTTAGGAAAGTGGATTCTATTCTGGGCAACAAAGAATCTTACACCTTTTCAAAAACCTGAAAGGAGTTATAATCTCTGTACAATGGATTTTTTAAAATGTATACAAAGTTGATCTTACGTGAACAGTTACCTTTAAAGAAGAAATTAAAATATACACTTAGGGGCTGCAAGCTAATAAAGGATAGTCATTGAGAAAAAAAGTATAAAAAGATTAAAGGTAACGGAATTATTCCATTATGGCTTTATATTGCACTTAATATTCCTGATCTACCATATACTGTTAGAAGTAAGTAGATAGCATCCATTCTCACTATAAATATTTATATGTATCTCTATAAGTCACAGATGTGTTTGGTTACGGATTTGAAGTTATAAAGTTCATGAACAATCATGATTATTATTTTACATCATTAATTTAACAATATTTTTAGCTCTGTTTTGGATTAGGATACCTGGGAAAGAGACTCTGTGATGGAGACTTTTGTGCAGAAAGTTATTAAGGATTCATCTCAGGTTCAGTACCTGTTGAAGAAGGAAGGAAGCAAGATTGAACAGAGAGAAATGTGGCTGGGATGCAGTTACAACAGCCTCGACTGATCTTACATGGAGCTCTGGAGCTGTAATGGCCTTTCAGAGCTATCCGGAATTGGGGTGAAGTTGTATTACCTTTATATCCTCGCCTCAATTGGTCTGTCATGCACAGGAAGGGAGGCATGGCCTTGAGCTAAGTGTCTTTGTTAAGCTGAGGGCTAGTCCTAAGAGGAAATATGCTGCACTGCCAACACTGCCAGCAGCTGTGGGGATGAGGACTTCATTCTGAGGTGGGGTTCTGGGATCTGGGGTGTGCACCACAGCAGCTATCACAAGAACTTTATTTGGGCTATAATTCTTCTAGGTACTTAAGATAGTCAGTGAACAAAACCGATGTGGATACCTGCCTTTACGGAGTTTGCATTCTTATATACTTTTCACCTTTATTATTTTAAACATGTCCTTACTTAATGCAATTTGTCTTAACTGTTTTTGCATATTAACATCGCAGCTTGCTAGCTTGATTAATTTTGATTAATTAATGCATTGTGTTTGTGGGGTAAACTTTTTGTTTTTCTTCTTCACAATCTGGATTATATTGTTTGAGGCTTTCTTTTTTTTTTTTTTAGATGGAGCCTAGCTCTGTCGCCCAGCTCTGTCGCCCAGGCTGGAGTGCAGTGCCACAATCTTAGCTCACTGCAGCCTTCTCCTCCAGGTTTCAAGTGATTCTCTTGCTTTAGCCTTCTGAGTAGCTGGGATTACAGGCGACTGCCACCACACCTGGCTGATTTTTATATTTTTAGTAGAGATGGGGTTTCACCATGTTGACCAGGCTGGTCTCGAACTCCCGACATCAAGTGATACACTCTCCTCGGCCTCCCAAAGGGCTGGGATTATAGGTGTGAGCCACCACACCCGGGTTTGAGGCCAGTTTTTCAAAAAACAACATGAAATAGGATTTGATTTTAAACAGAAGATATGCCAAGTAGAGTTGCTTCATTGTTTAATTTATATTTTTGTGTTACTGGAAATTTTATTATTTAATTTTGTTTTCTTAGTCTTATTTTCTTTTTTGGGTTCTTTCTAGTTTATGTAATATTTTATTTGTACTTATTATTTGTAAGATTTAGGAAGTTGAAGTCCTGCTCTTAATTCTATTTGTGACTGCCATTACATTTATAAAATTCAGATTTAAGCTGACATTTCTTTCATTTTTAAAGACCAATAAAATTAAGTGATTTATGGTAATTCCATTGCTCTTGTCGTTTACCCCATCTTCAAGTAGTTGATAAATTAATATCTGTTGATACACCTAGACTATTTTTGTACATTATTAAAAACAGCAGATTTTACAAAATTTTGCTTGAATTTTACTTAGTAACCATATTTAAAATTATTTCAATCGTTTTATGTATTTTATACTTTTATGAGCACCTCCTCTGTGCCAGGCATTGTGTTCATATTGAGGAAAAAAACCTTAGCAAAAGGACAGGATAGTCTCACAGAGTTTGCGGTATAATTAATTTTATTGCTCACTTCTTATGTTTTTATATAATCAGTTTTGCCTTTTTGAATATATAGTTTTGACTCACTTCTGAGAAGGATAAATATTTCTTTGTCCAGTTTACTTAAGAATTTACATTTTAAAAACTCACACTTCTTGGAATTCTCTGTTGCTTAATAGGTCAAAAACAAACCAAACCATTATAAAATTCTTCAATTATAATACAATGTTTTTATTAATAACACTCTATAGACTTTCTTTAATGTTTCAAGTTACAGAGAAAATGTCTCAGATTAGCCTTATTTTTGCCCTTTTATTGATAAACTATATTACTTCCTGATAGAACACTTGCAAGATATTCTTTTATATTTGAAATGACAATTAAACATATTGTAGTGAAATATTTGATCTTTAAGAATAAAGGGATACTTGTAGGCCAAGCTCACTATTTAATTCAGAAAAGTTTTCTTTAATTGTATCTAATTTTTATTTTTATTCCTATTACTTTATTTTTTTCACTTCCTGTGCTAATCATCTTCATTTACTATTTTAATTTTTTGTCATATTCTGTGGCATTTTGGAATGGTTTCTCACCATAACTCACATGTAATTTTATACAAGGTTAAACCTGCTTCTTACTATCTTATATTGAAATTTTTATTTTATTATTTCATTTTGGGTTTTTCTACATGTTTTTATAAAAAAGTATTTGTTTTTCATTTCTGCATTTTAGTTCACTTACTTAGTATAGCCTCCAATCCTGTTTTAGAGAGTAAGCTTTTGGTGGAGTCAAATAAGTGTCACTAAAACTTTCCTTTACATCTTGCAAAAAAATTAATTACATAAGTATGTTGTCTATCAATACATTATTTTATTTTCTTTATGTTGCATACTCTTTTGGGGAGTTTTAGGATTTTTGTTTAGTCATTTTGAATAGAGGAAGATCTATTTAAAATATGATGGCTATCAATTTCCAATGCCTAACAGCTATTTGTCTAAAATGGTCAATTATTTTCTGACTAACCCATGAAATTGTTAGCAATATAGTTTACAGTTCTCTATAAAGATAAAGGGATGCTTTTCCTGCACCTGTCTTGATTTCAACACATTTTCTTAAGCAAGTTGGCATTACAGGATTTTTTTTTCATGAAATGAATGAATGGATGTTTAGGGAGAAGAATGACCAAACTGGGTTCTCCATGCTTACTTACTGAAACAGAGAGAAACAAGGGAATGTCTATATTCCAGACATGGATCAAGACACTGGGTAAATTAAAGTCAGTCTTTTCCTTTTCTAGTATTCCTTACCTTGTTCTGATGTAGGAATTCAAGTATGTAGTAGACACTTCAAATATATTATTTTCATCCTATTATAATTAACGGGGTGATTAATGGAAATTCCACACCGACTTTGTTATGGAATCTTCAAATTCTAACAGTTTTTAAAAATTTTCTCAAGATTTGGCTTCTTTTATATCTTCGTGAACTTTTAAATGCTCAGTTTAGTATCAGAAAACTTGCTATTTTGCCTAGGCAGGAAATAAAATTGATACCAATTTTGTTAATTTTGATTAAGACTCAAGATTGCCCATCTTCAACTGAGAGGCAATCTTTTAGTTATAAGGATGAGACTCCCAAACTAGTCATACAACAGCCTGTCTTTAAAGTGCAGTGATGTAAATTGAAGCCTCTAAACCTTAGACATGAGTGTTTTTGACTAGTTAAATTAATTTTTACATTGATTTTGGTTTAGGCTATCCAAAGGATGCCAGCTAATGATGTCAACAGAGATACATGATATTGCTACAGTCTTTTCTCTAAAATGTTGAAGGAGGTGGCTGCAGTGGGTATCTATGATTAACACTAAAGAGAGTGGAAAAAATTTTCCTTCATTTATTTAATTTGCTTAGTCAACAATGTGTTTCTATCATTAGGCAGACATTTGTGTCAACATTAGAGCATCTGTCCACACAGAATGAAATTTTTTGGACAGGCAATGCTTAAATAATTATGTTTAATTGATGGAATTTATAATTAATTTATAAATAAATGAAAAATAATGTCATTATATGCAAGAGAGTAGATGATATTGAAATTTAATTACAGACTTCTAATTACATTAATGGTTTGGAAGATCTCTGTTTAATTTAGAATAGTCAGAAAACAAATGTGTTTGATTATCACTTTTGTCCCTAGCCCAGTCTACTCATTCTTGAAATTGTGTTCTTTCCTTAAAATATCTAGTATTTTCAAATGTGCTTCTCATTCTCCATTTCCCTTGCAACAACTCTCTTTCAAGCTCTGATTACTTTATAATTTGAGTATTTTGTTCATTGGAACTTTTTACCTTTCTACCTGGCTCTCCATTCTTTCCACTTTCTGCACTGCCAACAGATTCACTTTTCTAAAAGTATTTTGGTTATATAGTGATCTACTCACAAGTCTTTGGTAATTCTCTTTTTCCTTAATATAAATTTAATCCTTTGTGTTGATACAATTTCTGTCACTCTCTGTTGTTGATCTGTTTCAGATGAAATGGTAACCATATCTCTTCCTAATATAAATAATTCAGATTTTCCTCAATATAACTTAAAAAAATAGTATACTTGTTCTTCCTTTCTCCACTTTTTGCCACTTCTATCTAATAATGGTTTATTGCCAATGGACATCAATTTACGGTTACTTGTCAAATACTATATTAAATTATAATTAGTTGAATGCTTTATTTTCTCCTCAAGCAGAGTAAGTTCCTAGCAGACAGGGATATATGTAATATTTATATCTTTTACTATCGAAAATTGGATCTTACATATAGTAGTTTTCTCCATAAATATATACTACATAAAATCATGCATTAATGAGGTTTTCAATTATATTTTACAATCATTATAAAATTATAATTAAAATATTGAAATAAGAAAAAGCTTTAATAACATTGCACATTAAAGAATAATATATTTTAGTCCAGACTTAGTGGCTTACACCTGTAATCCCAACACTTTGGGAGGCCGAGGTGGGCAGATCACCTGCGGTCAGGCGTTCAAGACCAGCCTGGTCAACATGGCGAAACCCAGTCTCTACTAAAAAATACAAAAATTAGCTGGGAGTGGTGGCAGGTGCCTGTAATCCCAGCTACTCGGGTGGCTGAGGCAGGGAGAATTACTTGGACTGGGAGGCGGAGGTTGCAGTGAGCTGAGATCGTGCCACTGCACTCCAGCCTGGGTGACAGAGCGAGACTGTCTCAAAACAAATTTCTTTTTAAAAAGGATAATGTATTTTAAACAACTTTCCAATAGTTGCTTCTGTATTTGTTAGCATAACATTAGCTGCTAAAATAGACTCCAAAATTTCAGAGATCTAACACAGCACTATTTCTATTTCTTGCCTACATGACATTCCAATGCAGCATTACTCATAATTTGGGGTAGAACTGGAATGAGGAAGGACTTTGCTCCATGTGGTTTTCAGTGAGACAGGCTGATTAATATAGCTATTTTCAACACAGGGCTTCTAAAGTTTCGTTGGGCACTGACTTGGCTAGAAAAGGGAAAAAATTGGAAGAACAAAACTTGGAGGAGATTTTTTGGGTCAAACCTAGAAGGAGTGCACAGAAATTCTCACATTCTACTGCCTTAGGCTCAGTTACATGGCTACACCTAACTTGCCTAACTGCAATGGAGTCTGGGAAATGGGGTCTAGGAGGCATTTACCTCCAGTGAAAAATCTGCACTTAAGTAACAGGGACCCCAGATTTTGGACAGATAACCCCTTTCTCTGCTACCACATCCATCTAAAATTTATATTGAAATAGAATAAAACATAAAATTTATACTAAAATATTGTATATTTAAATATCTGGGAATAATTATACCAATATTAGGATTTTTTAAAAACAGTGGCAGAGATGTCAACACATTACCCTTGTATGAAGACAACACATTCTTCTGCTCCTGTTGCTGCAAGATAATCTGAGAACACTGTATTTGTTTTGTTTTGTTTTAGTAGTTTTTCAACTTATTATAGACCTTTGACTTATGAAAAATATTTTATCCTTTATACCCCAAGAATTATGTAGTTATGAGTATCTTTAAACTGTTCCACAAATTTAAAATAGAATGAAGCAGTTCTGTGGAATTTTGCTAAAATAGGTTTGTTTTCATGTATAGTTGGTTATTGAAGGGTATAAAATGCATAAGCTCCCATTTGCGTTTAGCCTATCTCTCTAGGAATCAGTCTGAAAGCTCCATAAATAGCCAACGCCTTTCTGTACTGTGTGGGGTCTCCTTAGTCCCCCAAGAAATTATTTTCCCATCCTACTCTGGCTTTTTAAGCCCTCCTAAAGTTAAAATACTACATGGTTTCTTTAGAAAAGGAACCTGAAAGTACAAATGGAACTAACTCCTAAGAACACTTACTTTGCTTTTACAAAGGTGATTTGATATCCTTGGCAAATAGAATGAGATAAATTTTATTTTATTAGGCTTTTGACTAATCAAAGCTCACCAAAAACAAAGCCTTATTCAACAACAAAGGAGGCCTGTTTGTTATGCAACACTGTCTTCCTCACACAATTAGAGATAACTGATGGACATGCTTGATATTCACACTTCATAATAAACATAAGTGAATCTTATCTGAATCTTGCAAATAACTGAGGTACTCCAATTTTAGGTTGAGACTTTTCAAGAGGAAGTCTAAATTAAACCAAAGAAGATTAGGTGAGGCAGATTTGACCAGGGTTTGTCTATGGTCAGAAGAAAAAAGAATGATATTTGAGGATGCTTAAAGATACCACTATATAACTTTTTTTGTATAAAATTACATGATTATCCATAACGAGCTAAACATTCTAATTGTTTGGTTTATTATTAAGTTTAGGGCTCAATATGACAATTTTACTATTTTTACCTCCCACCTTTACATATAAAAATCACTAAAATCTGTTTAAATCTACAGACCTATAGGGTCAGCTATGTTGCTCAAATCCTGGCTTTACAGATTATAGGCTGCATGTTTTTAGTCAAATTACTTAAGCTTTATCAACCTCAGTTTTCTAATCTGGAAAACAGGAATAACGCATTCATTAGTAGCATTACTATTGAGAGTGGCAGGAGGCAGCCACATGCCTAGGCAGATAGAAGCAAGTCCCCAGTGAAACCTCACCTTCAAGCTGAAGACAATTTAAAGCCTGGAAGCTAAGTGACAAATTCAATCCTGCAACCGGATTGAGAACTTGTCTTCCCATTTGGCGTATTTTCCTCAGATTGATCTCCACCCTTCACCTATTTTGCATGTATCTACCCTTTCCTAATTGGTTTTCTACACTGTCATGCACACCTTTGAATGATGTCTTCACTTTAAACTTTTTTGCATACTCACAAACCAATCAGCATGCACTCCCCATTCTGAGTCCATAAAGGGCCCCAGATCCAGCCACGCTGGGGACTTTTCTGTCCTTCGGGTAGGGGAACCACCGCCCTGCCCCCCCTGGCATCCCTTCCCTGCTGAGAGTTTTCCTTTCGCTTAACAAATTCTACTCCACTCACTCTCCAGTGTCCCCATGCCTAATTCTTCCTGGTAGTGAGATAAGAACTCAGACCTAGCTGAGCTAAGGAGCAGAAAGACCACAACACTATGTGGATTAAATGAACTAGAATACATAGAGTGTTTAGAACCATACATGTTTCATAATATATACTCTATTAATGTTAACTGATGCTGGTTCTCAGTTAACTTTAATATAACTTTTCCATGATATTTTATTCTAACTTCCTGGACAGCGAATTAATGGCCCTCCTTTTTGACTGGGATTTATGTCCTCTTCTTTCTTTAATATACAGGTATTGACCTCTGGCAGTGAGGTGACTAATTTACCAGCCACCTAATGCTATTCCTGCCTTCATCACTATTCCTAAGTACCTTCCCTTGAATTATCAGAAATAAAAAATTCTAAGTTTAAGTCTGAAATGGTATTTTTGAAAGGGAAATTTTAAAAAATCAGTTGATGAAGTAACCTTTTGCCATGTACACTGATTGAGTACAGAATCAGGCTTGTGGGGAAGACTGAAGCAATTTTTCAGGGAAAAGAGACAAGAAGAACAAGAGAGAAAATTCTCTCAATTTTTATGAGCTTTAATGTCCCACTTCCTAGTTTATATGTGAAATTGGGTTACAATTTTCCTCAGTTTTTCCCCACATAATATAATTTGAATATTTGGTTTCTGTACTATGCAAAGTAAGAGCTGTAACTATGCTACCAAGAACGAGTAAGCTTGAGTAAATGGGTTAAATGAAGGCTCTTCTCAGAGTATTTAATAATCTAATATTATTTTATAAGTCTCAAGAAGGGGAATTAGCCTTGCAGTTTATCCCAAACATAATTGTCCACAGAATTTTATTTTTCCCTTCAAAGAACATCTCCAAAGGCATAATGATCCTTAGCACGACCTCCGTTAACATTGTTATATAAAGAATATATTTGTGATATTTCTCTTTGACATTCCTTTGAGAGCTATGCTATGGTTCTGGACAGACAAAGTTTTTTAGAATGTCTACCATGCCTTCTGGGAAAATCTGACTCCAATCTATCCTCTGACACCTAAGCAATAATGTGCTGTGCTTCAAGACTTTGGCACCAGGGCTGTCAAATCCCAGACTGGCTAGTGGATGCACTGCCTAGCAGGGTGCACGAATTAAATGGTTTGAAACAGCATCCACTCTCTCTGGAATTCGAACTAGAAAGTACCAATTTAATTGTTGTAGACTAAAAGATTCAGAGCTAAGGACACCTTGGGAAAGATTTGCAGCCACTGGAGTGATTGCATGTTGATCTTCAACTACTGGCTTTTCTGTTCAGGCCCTCTGTCCGGGAATTGCCCACCCCAGCTCAAGAGTGTGTTTCTACCAGCCGTGCTTCACTGGAAGGTCTTACTTCTATGATCATATTTGCAATTATATATTTTCTCCTAAGATGGAATTGGAACTGAGAGAAAGGCAACTTCTTTTTATTGGTTGGCTTTGAAGTTGTGCTTATGAACTCTGGGTGGAAATATTTCATCATGCAGAATAGGGAACAAAGAAATCTGGACTACAGAGAGGGAGAGAGAATAAAGAAAACATACAATGAAAATCAGAGGTGAATATTCAAGGCAAAATACTCCTGGTTCTTTTCTTGAAAACCAGCTGCATTCTTGCCCTTGAGATCTTACCTGTATATACCATTAACATCCCTCTTCCTCTTAAAATTAAGCTGTTTTTAGTGGGATCTTGTTATACGCAATCAAGAATCTTAATATAAAAATCGCAGGGTTTCTTTGGCAGGGAGCAGAGACTATAAGTAAGAAAAAGCTAGGAGATAATGAGCAGAAAATGGAAAATTATCAATATCTAGAAGAGATCAGAGAGTTTGCATCCAAAAACAGGAATACACTGAGAAACCCCATGTAGCCAAAGAAGTTAGGGTAAATGCTCCTCTGAGCTGCCTCATTCTATCCAATGTTCCAATTCCAGTTCAGAGGTTTTCCTAAAATTCTTGCTAATGTTTTCTTTTGGTAATTTTAGAAGAGAACTGTTTTAAACAAAGCAAAGCGATTAACTGAAAAGTTTTCAATTGCAGGGCAACTGAAGTGGAGGAAAGCAAGCATTCAAGTGCAGGGCAACTGAAGTGGAGGAAAGCAAGCATTCAAGTGCATAGATGCCCTTCAATTTGCCTGTGTCCATCTATCAAATTGGATAAAGAAACCACAATAGCATGCATGCTTGATTAGCAGTCTCCAAGTAAATATTATGCTTAGATATACTCTGGGCTAGGCATGCCACAAAATGTGTGGATATTCTTATAAGGAGAAACATTTTCAGATTAAGATAAAAGAAACATACAATATGTTATTTCAAATCTAGCTCACTAGGGATTCATTTTATGTACCTGTTTCTCAGTTTCTGCCAAGTGAAAGTGTGACTACCATTACCAACTTCCTCTGGTGTTAAAAATGAATAAATAATGAAAAATTTCAAAGGAATCTGAATTCTTTTACCAAGAAAGTCTATATTAATAAATAAGAAAAACATAGGAATTTTAAATTAGCTATACCTTTTTTATTTCATATAAGTTTAGCATTTTAAAATGTCAGTTACCTGACAGAGAATAAAGCTCTGTATCTGAGGGCACAGATAATTACACCTAATTGTGTTAAAAACACAAAGCTAGTTAGATTTCTTATTGTTGCAATATCTATTTCGCTTCCTCTCTCTAAGTCTACTTTTTTCCTCTACATTATCAGTTTAAAGTTTGCCAAGAAGGAAACCTTCATTTATTGGTGGAGTTGCTTGAAATGAGATATTCATTGAGACTCACTTTATCTAGGTTCAGTATTTTATACAGAATTTAAAAAAATATTGAAGCATCACCCCCACCCCCACCCCCCCACACACAAAATCACTGGTGCACAAATCAATTGGCTTTTACAAATTGAGCATAATTATGTAACTACAACCCAGATCAAAGACATAATATTACTCCTCAAACCCTCTCATTGTCCTCTTTCAGATACAATTTACGCTAGTCTACAGTTAGCCACTATCTTAACTAAACACCATAGATTAATTTTGTCTGGTTTGTTGTTATAGAAGTGCAGCCATATAGTATATACTGCTTTGGGTCTGGCTTCTTTCCATCAATATTATGTTTGTTAGATTCATCTGTGTTCTTGCATGTGGTTGCAGTTTGCTCATTTTCATTATGGCATACTTCCTCATGTTAACATCCCCCAATTTATTTATTCACCTACTTATGATGGGCACCTCCTTCATTCAGGTTTTAAATCCATAAGACTGTTTAATTTTTTTTATTATTTTCACAGAAGCCAGAATTTTATGTTTCAGCTCTAGCTAATACTTTTCAAAATTTCTGAGTGGCTAAATGATGGGCCATCACCTCGTAGAATACCGACTAAATTTGGTAGAGACAGAGATATTTATTGTGCATACTTCAGGACAAGTTTACCAACCACTTCACTAGGGCTGCCTGGTTATTTCTTTCTAAAACAAAACAAAATAAACAAAATATCTTTGGAATTAAAGGTTTAATATAAAAATTGTTGGGTTTACATTTGAAAAATGTTAGTGTGCATTTTTTTTTTAATCCAGAAATCTGGACTTCTTTCAAAGAATAGCTACTTTTCACCTTCTGGGATGAAGCATTTGATTTGTCTTGAGTTTGTGTATCTCAGAGTGTTTCTTCAGCAACTAAGTCATCTCCTTATTACTCCCTATATTTCACAGGCTGCCTTTCTGCTCCAAAGCACACTACTGGCAACTGAGTACTGGGTACTTTCCAAGCTGTTGCCACCTCTGTACTTGTGAGAAGTAACTTTGGTTAAGGTTCCTTTTCCCTACCACATAGTTCTTCAGGCAATTCTCTTCAACAAATGTTGAAGATCTCCTCATGGCCAAAAGTAGTACAATTTTAAAGAGAAATTACAATGTATAAGGAAAATTTATAATTTGAAGAGGAAAGCCTTGGTGTTAAAAAGATTAGTGCGGTCTTTAGACCTGATCTTAATCAAGCTACTAGGATATGAAACCACATTCAATGTTAGGAAAGTAATTTTACCTTTCTGCGCCCTAGATTCATTCAGACAGCAATTCCTGCTTACAGAGGAAAGCAATTGAAGGTCAATCCTTCATCAAGAGGTTTCTCGCAGGTGTCCCTGCTCTTGATGGGACATGCCAATCTTCATTTCCCTATATTCTTTCTTGTGCAAACGTTTCTTCATCAGTCCATTTCCAGAATATTTACCTACTCTAGCCTCATAGAAAATCAGTGTCACTGTCAAGTAACCCCAACCTGGCCCACACAGAGGGCCTTGCTCCCGGGGTATATTCAAGCCCCTGATATGTTGTGCAGTTGTGATCCACTTAGATTTTCTGAATGCAGTTACCTTTCTGAAGGAGTTGCCTTTAAAATTACCTGGAAGGCCAGTGATATACCAAGAGCGGAATGTGGTATCCAGATTCCAGTGACTGGTGCCTGGGCCAAGGGTGGCTGGGATATCTTGTTGGATTCCATTGTTGGTAGTACCATCAATATGTACTTTAGATAAATTACTCCCTTAACTGATTGATTGTTATTCTGTTAAGCATGTGCAGTCTCCAAACACACATCTCCTTTGGCATAGTTTGTATAATTTCAATTCATTTAGAAAAGGAAATATGTCCTCGTTTAGCAAAGTGATCCATACCTTCCTTTGAGCCAGTAATCCTCACTTATTGGAAAATAATATAGTATTTTCTGTTTTAAGATACAGGTGTCTACCAGAATAAGAAAAGTACCAAATTATGCCTCACATTGTTCTACAGAAAGACCATTAGACTCTTATTTTTAAAGTTTTGCAGTTTTCCTTGGTTGCCAATTCTTCACGTTGCAGTTTAGACTATATTAATATTAATCCCTTACATTATTTAATCTTTCAAATGTTGATGCTCTGAATATCAATAAAAGTTGGAAATTGTGGATCATATCAGTAATTTTTATGTACTAATCCCATATACAAAGCAAGTGCTCAATCCCCATTGGCTGATTGACCTATTCAATTCCATTTTCTCACCAATTCATCAAAAGACATAAAGTTATCTTAGTACATGATTTTACAAAAATACTAGAGGATTAATAATGAAGTTACATTTTAATGGTATAAAATGGTAAATATGCAACTTTAAACCTTTTGTTCTAATATTAATCTTACTTGTTGGTTATTAGATGAAACTATACACAGGTGAATGATCTTTCATGCATACAGTAGTCTCCCCTCTGGATCAGGAATAGAAATAGTTTCACAGAACACCATGAGCAATACGCACTATTTTATCTCAAAGTATCTAATCTGAGTTAGTTGTAGCTAAGTTTTCTATACCTCTGTGGTTGTCTCAGAGGTATAGAAAAATTAAAAGACATGATTCCTTATGTCAACAACATGGAATATGACTGAGGGACAAATCATTTTAATTCATTATGTGAATCTATGTGATATAAGCCTGGGCAATAAAGCACTGTATTTGCTGGAGGAATAGAGAAGTTTCAAAATGTAGATGGAGCTTTAGTTAAGAATTGAGTGTTGAAGAATAACTAATTTTCCAGGTGAACAGGTGGGAGAGTGCATTCCAGGCAGAGGAAAGAGAATACTGGAAGGCATAAAGCATAAGATGACATGGCGTTCTGGACTACATGAAATTCATTGGTACTAGTCATTACTATATAAGACATAATCCCCTAATGCTCACTATATGGCTTCTTGGATTTATAGACTCAAAGATTAAATTCTGATGACAGTAGGAAGCTTCAGTTTGGACTCATTCTTAGTAATACCTAAAAAGTAATATAACTCAATGTAACATTTAGAAAGTAAATTTGGGCTTATAGGTTGCTAGCATAATAGATAATAATACTATGATCTCATTTGGCTAGCTAACTTTGAACTTATTCTCTATCAGATCATAATGTTAAAAGGAATTACTGGTAGTATACAGGTACTCTTATCTGCACAAGAGAAACCAGGTTTGGTTCTAACCCTGAGAGAGAAGGGGTTTGCAAACCTAGTTGTCAGGGCCCAACTAAATCTGCTGGTAATAATCAAATGCCTCTACCTTCCAAGGGTCTGTTCTTCATGGCAGAGGCTGGTGATGACAGCATGATATCATGAATGTGTTAACACCTAATGTGCTTACCCCAGTTACGGTGGGCTACATTTTGTGCAGAAAATCTAATCCCAAGTCCCATCAGCTTATGATAATAGAGTCCTAGCATTGGTGATAGATATATTTTAAGTACAATTTATCTGATAGTTTCCAAACTATGTCTCAGTCCTGGGATACCCATGAAATATTATCTTCCTTATGCATCACTAAACAAAATTCCACTAGTTGAGGTTGACTATCTGAGTCTTGATTTCTTGTAACTCAAAGAAGCCAACACAATAAACATAGTCAAGTTTCATTAATGAAGAGTGGGTGGCTGTTTCTTTAACTGAGACTTGTCTCAATGCCAAGAGGCAAGGTACAGCAAGACTAGCTCCTGCCCTACTCTCATTTAAGAAATAATATGTCTAAGGTTTGATGGGTTTAAATGACTCAATCACAAACTCTGGAATATGTAGGAAGGAGGCAAGAGCATAAACTCATTTTGTACATCTCTCAGTCATTATATCATATTAGCTGTCATTTTTCAAGCTTCTATTACTGTTCTTAGTGTTGCTGTTATTATTTCTTGCTGTTTTGTTGTTATTGCATTATTATTATATTTATGGATCTTTTTTTATGTGCCAAGACCAGTGCTTTAGATGCTTTATTTTAATTTTTACAACAAAATTAGAAAGTAAGATGGTTACTGGATTTTTACTATTTTAGATTCTGTGCCATATGGTTGTTGAAGGTAAATTAAAATATTTATAATTTTAATTTCTGGTCCAAAAACAATTCCTTCTCATTCCTTTTGATCATTTTCTTCCAGTTAATAGTCAAACAGCATAATGTTTTAGAAAAAATATCAAGCGTTTCAATAATTTGTTTATATATGGCATAAAACATTTTGGCAAACCTAATTCCACCTCATTAGACATTCTTTCAAAGAGTCTTAGATAACACAAGTACAAAACTGGATCAATGATATGGTTTTAATATCCTTTTTCCCAAAGGTATTGAAAGTACCAATCCATCACCTACTCTCATTTGCCAACCTCAGTAACTTAATTTCCCACTCCAACTTAGACTCATTTAATTTCTTTCTTCATTGATCCCTTGTTCTTAAGGAAAATGGATTTAACTTCACTGGGAGGTAGGTTTTATGCATTTTAATTGTTTTTTATTAAGTGTTTACAACTAACTTTTTCCATTCTGAACATAAAATAAGCTCTTATTCTTTTATGTCTTGTGTTTCCTTTATTTCATAAAACTCATTTTCATCTTATTTTTCTTCTCCAATTTTCCTAGTTAAGCCAAAATCTACAGCAAATGCACACAAACACACTAATATACATGTGGGTTATGTTATAGGTTTGTCCTACATCTTAACTCTTATTGAAAGAAACCCTTTTTTCTTTTAAGTTGAAACATCTTTTATTCTTTTCAGTGTATATGGTCAATTTATCAAAACTTGACTTTACTTGTCTTCAAGGTTGATCTTTGTAAAGTTATAAAATTTGTTTGGTGCTAACTAGTTTGCAGTTTTGATTTCTAGATTACTGCATGTCAAATTTAATCATAATGCTGTCAGCTGGCCGAATGGCTGAACTCCATTTTTCTACTTCACTGATTTTTTCCTTCATTCTAGCATAAGTCATCATTCCCTGTAGGGGACTTGACAGAATAATTCCAGAAGGAAGCATTTGCCTAAGTCATTATTTTTGTGTTTGTTTCATGATGTACCTGAAACAGTTTTAAATTAATATTTATATGATTTTGTTATTTATATTTTTGTGTTTATATCTTTTCATATTTTGCTTGAACTAATAGTATAAAATTATTTAGAAAAAATAGAAAATCTTTGGGAAAGTTTTTAATATGTTTAAAATCCCCATCTTACATATTGGTATTGAGGAATGTGATTTGGGAGTCATTTAAGAGATTTGTGGATTATTAAATTGGATTTGCTTTAAAATATTGAATATTAGGGGAAGCATAATCATGTATTTATTGTAATTCTGTAGACATTTTAAAATAATATTACCAAATAATGTTTACTACTGAATTATGAAGAAACTTTTGCTGACATAAGAGCTGCAGGTATTGTGATTTCTGTTTCATTAAATAATTGAAACTGAAAGAAGGAAAATTCCCATTTACTGGCTTTTCAGAAAATGTGAATGTTTGTGTGTATGTATGATGCACATGGTGAATTACATGCAAACACACTGAAGAAACTGAAAAGGGGCTGATGACTCTTCTTACCCGGTCAGTAAACACAATCAGATGTACAGTGTATCTAGATGCTCAGCTGACTGTATGTTCCTACTGGGAGGAATACCAAAAAAAAATGTGTGGTAAGAGGTTTTTGATACAGCAGTGGCAATAGAGATGAGAGTCTGGTAGCCTAGCAACCTGTATTCGGTAGTGAAGGTATTTGTGGTAGTGACTTTATAACTACACTGGTCCTGAGTAATGATCTGGTGTATACCAAACTGTCTACCTTCTTTAAACTCCTGACCATTTTTTCCAGCCTTTTTGTTGGTTCTGTGAACTACACAAAGCCTTCTAATAAATCCTTTTCTACCTATATAACCAGGGTTAGTTTTGGTTGTTTTTGCATGAAAAACTACAATTAGTAATTCCATTGCCCTGCTTGCTACATTTATAAATAACCTTCTGAATGCTCCCCTTCTTTGCTTTTGTAGACTAGCCTGACATCTTATTTTTACCCGCTTCTTTGTTGTAGCTGCCTGTGCCACATGTTCTAATTGCATAACCTCTGTTTCGTTTTGTTTTTAAATTCTCTTTTTACTTGCAGGAGCATAAGATTTTAGTCATGTACACAGATATCCACAATAAATACCAGATTTCTCAGGTTCTATTATATCTAAGAGTGATGATGTAACTAAGCTGTGGCCAATGAGATGTGGGTGGAAATGATGTTTACAATTTCCCATTCCTTCCCATAACAGGGAGGATGGCATTTTGCTTTCTGTTGTCCCTTTTCCCACTTGCTGAAATGCAGGTATGGTTATGAATCATCTTGGAAATGTGTGGGAGCCCAACATCCCAAGGATGGTGGACCAGCCATTCTAGTAATTCTTGGACTTATCAAATTAGCAGATAAAAATTATCCTAGCTTCTCAAGTTTTGAAATGATAGAAATATCTCTTTGAATTAGAAGTACAGATCATAAATGATACACAGCCTTACAAAAGTTATGTCACAACCTCTTACCTCTCATAAACACTTTTAACCCTTCTCTCAAGGTTTTGGGTGAGCAGAGGTATAGTTCTTACTGAAACAAGGAAAATCATTTTCTTGGAATATCATTTATAAGGAATATCATCACCCTCATCATTCTTTTAACCTTTATTTTAATCCTACTATGTTTACCCACGCTCTTATTGCTTCAGGATGGCAGTCTTCAACCATCCTTGAGATTCTGTGCTTCACTTTGTGGTTTTCTTTTCAGTAGTCCTACTCTTAAAAAATGTTGCATACCTGCTTTATTTTGAAAGTTGCTCTGTTCTCCAAATACTTTCTCTCATACCTATACATATTTCCTGCCTATTTCTTTTGGAGATTTCCATGTATATATTTCCTTATCCTCTTGGCATTATTATACACCTTCCTATATGTTTTCATTTAGTACTGCCTATATTTCCCTTTTAGAGGATAAGGTACTAAATGAAAGGAGTCTAAAATTTGTAAGGTATCAAGAATTCCACAAGAGCTTAAATAGTCCTGGCAAACACACACATAAGTCTGATATTATTTACTCCCACTCACGCCAACTACATATTTCAACATACTTCAAGTATTTAATTTCCTAGGATGAGCAGCAGGATAACTATAATAGTAGTAACCAATATATCTGTGTTGGGAGGAATGTGGGCCCACTGATGATTCTAGTAGGTTCTTTGACAGCTAAGAATCGCTAAGATTGTCTTCTCAGTACCACTAGCAGATAATTTCCCCAGTTGACATGTGTCTGTTCTGAGTTTTTGGCCAGATTATTGATGAGAATCACAGAGACTGAAAAGTTTTTAGGACTTAATTATAAGGCCCACTCATTATTACTACAATCTGGTGCTGGTGATTTTTTCAATATTATGTACATAAATTTTAGTGGTTCTGATTGCATCCATGCTGATGGAGAACATGGTACATATAGATACCTGTGTTCTGTTGAAAATGAAAAGCCACTTTTTTAACAGGAGACAATCTTATTTAATTCAGGTAAAAATATTTTCCAAATATTTAAGAATCATTATCTAATAAACACTGAAAAATGAAAAGCTATGACAGTTAAAAAAATGCAGTTATTTTGGTGACAGTCTCTGATGAAGTTTGAATGTGGCAGAGAGGATTAATTTTTCAGGATAATGGTTAGCATGGATAATTCATAATAAGTTTAACAATTCAGAGCTCAAAGCAGTTAAATAATTGCAACTGGATTGCCTGTTGGCTTTACTTGAATCTAAAAGGGACCTTTAATGTACTTAATATTTTGCTGAAACATAATTCAGTCTCAATGACTTTGAAAGGGGCATTAATAGTTTTCTGAAAATGTAACCTTGAAAATTAAATCCATTATATATTTCCAAGATTATGGATTAAACTACTCTGTCAAATAAGTCATTATATTAGCATAATGAGGTATGAGGGGAGACATAAGTGAGAAACAGCAAGTAAAAGGTACTTTGTGCCACAATTTGCCTATATTTAACCAAAATGACCTTTAAAAGCACAGCTGAAGGGTCAGGTTTATCATCACTTTTCCAGCCTTCAAGTAATATATTTCTATTTAGCAGAACAATTTGCTGAAAATTGCTGTGGTAAGAACTATGCTTAGTCCAGCTGCCTACCTACAATATACAGGATCTGAATGGAAGCAACCTCCAAGAATAGCAGTTGCCAGCCATCATTTCCCTGAAGCAAGACATCTGAAGTGCACACAGCTATCACTTTTCCCTGAAAAGCAGAGAAGTCATTAAAAACATATCCTGGAACACACATATGTGGAAAAAGAAAGTAGCAAAATGTTAAAATGCTAAAGGAAGTAGTATGGTGTGAATATGTCTGTTGCACTGAAGCTGGCAATTGATTGAAAGTGTAGCTTAAAGTTATCAAGTGCATTTTTCATTTCTTGTATTCAAACTAGAATTTTTTCTTTTTCCCTAATGGCCTGGATACCTTTTGACTTGATAAATTATCCTCACTTCAAAGACAGCTGAGGGAAATAATGTCCCGCAGAGTGTCTGACCCACAGTGGGCTTCAGTAAATATTTGTTGAGTGAATATTGAATACATGAGCACTGATTCACTCGAAAAGGAGGCCCTCATGTTCACATATGGTATTGGTTAAACAACTGATTGACAGAATCCTCCTGGACAACAATTTAAAATTCTGTCTATGATTTTCTCATTCTATAAAAGTGATATTAATAGTATCTTTTTCTCGGTTTGGTAGCTCTGGTCAGCTACGCTTGTCAAAACGTCAATTTCTTTGCTGTGTCAGTGACTTTTAAGAAAGGACAAAATTGAAACTGATTCAGCACACTGTAATAGTGTTGATGATAGGGATAAAAGAGATCCAGTGAAGCTGTTCTCCTTGACCTTTACTGGCTGTTTCTTCAGCTACGAGATAGTCACTATGGGAAGCACTATTATCTAAATCCACTGAGAGCTCATAGTCAGAGGTGGCAGGACCCACGTTGTTCATGAATAAACTGCACCGAAATGGAAGACTGCTTTCTTATTTAATTTTTTCCAGAATTAAAACTTGATCTGAAGTGGCAGATTAAGAAATCCAACTGCAAATATTAGAAGTACAATACAAACAGAGTGACTAATGCAACTAATACAACAAATGCAGCATCTGATTGATTTTATAATTTAAAGGAGTTGACACTAGATGCCAGTCTTTTCACTATGTAGTATAGGTCAGCAGTCTGAATGGCTTCAGGTAAGTGAGATGTAATAAAATCAGAGTTATAATTCCATCAACCATAAAAAGACTGTTATTTATAAAAGTGCAATAAACAATAATGATAAAATGAATAATACCAAGCTTAATATTTTAAAATTATATAACGCTTTTAATATGCCTTCTATCCTTTTAGTAGTGGCACTTAACTGTGGCACCACATTTCATTGTGGGTTTGAGCAAGTAAAATAATTATAGTTAAGTTACTGAACTGTATAAATGGGTGATTTTAATACTTTTTTAAAACGTAGAGTATTATAAAGGTAGTCCATATAATAACCCCACTTTCTCTCATGCACACATCTATTAAACTTTCTTTAATGGAAGAGGAAGATATAGAAGACAAGAGATTGCACATAACCTGTGGCCTTTTTTATATCTGGAACACCCTGCAATTTGGTGCATTCATGGGACTCTTTCATTCATACATGTAAATACGGTATATGTGTTATAATAGAAAAAAATAAGGACTTCGTACCCATTTTCTTCGTGCTACTATGTTAAGCTAAGAAGTGGAAGGTGCCAAGTTCAATTTGGAACTCTCTAGCAAGCCAGATTAATGTTTACTGGCTTCTCTATCTCTGCGCTTCATTGCTCTTGAAATCACTTCCTTTCCTTTTGAATATTGCTAGCCTCTTTTAGGATGAGCCAGTTGTGAGCCTGAATCCAAATTATCACAGTACTCGTTACAGCCATCAAGCAAACTGCAAGTGTTATGAATTAACCTAATGCTTTTTAAAACATTATTTTCTCCATTCTAAACTCTGTGCTGTTGCTTTCAACCACGTTTTAAACCAAATTAATGACCATATGAAATAAATATGACTCTACCCACTTTTAGTTAAATAATCTAAGGCTCAGATTTATCCAAGATCACAAAAAACTAACAGACTTGGTATTGAAATTCATTTATATGTAAATTATGGAGACCAAGCTCTTTTCAACAACCGCAATGTCAGGAATAAAATATCCTCTGAACTTTTCACTCTGATTACTTCTTTGAAACTATCAAAATATAAGTGTTGAATGCTTCCTGTTCATTAAAAGTAAAAACAGGCAGAAAGTTGAAAGTTAACCACGGCTTCCTTATGTCTCCTTTTTTGCACACATCCTAGGATCTTCTATGACCTCCTGCTTCATCCGCCAATCCCAGAATATGCTATTCATACTGGAAACCCTTTACTTGTTTTAAATGTTTTTAAGTCAAGTTTAAAGCACCAACTTTTTGATTAGCTATAACTGGCAACTATTAAAGACCTAAAAATACTTAATTATTTTTTATTCAATATATATATTAAACAACTTTATTCAATCCTATATTATAAGGCAATTCAAAATGAAACACTGCTCTGCTAACTTATATATATATATTTTTTAATTTACAATCAACTAATTTACTTAAGAATCTAGAATTTTGATACAAGAAAGAATACAGTTGGTTCACACTCTTCAAAAGATCTATGAGCGGAACTAAAATTGTATGTCAACTAACTCCTTTACAGATATTAAGTTGATCCAGCTTTATACCCACAGTGGTTCTAGGGGAATATCATTTGCTAGAAATCTAAGACATTTTTACAAAACATCAATATAAACTCGTAGAATAATTGTATGGTGTTTTGTTTTTTACTATCCTGAAGATACAGATTTAGTAACGGTTTACTTCTTTCTGCCAGGTGAGAGGAATAGTGCAAAAGGGCAATTTATATAGTTATCAAAATAAGTCTGAGCAAATCCTAAACGAACTGTAGCTAGCCTATTTGATAATGTTTTATGTTTAGAAATCTGAAGACCATTCTACTAAAATGTAAAAAGTTGAATGCTTACATTGGAAAAACATGCTGAACTTTCTTTCCATAATTTGTTAAATGAATTCAACAAATTATAAAATTTATTTGTATAAGGATATGTCCAAATATGAATTGTTCAGTTTTTATCTTAATGATAGGCAATATATCTGTTCACCTAAGTCTCTAAGGCTAAGTTTATTGCTTTAAGTTTACTTATAGAAGAAGCATTTTTCTTCATATTTGATTTACATTTCCCATTTTATTGTATAATGTTTGTTGCACACAATAATCATAAAGATATTTAAAGGACAATGACTGAATATTTATAACTCTAGGTACATACATTTAGCAATTTAAATGAACTAAACCCATTCCTTCTAAAGCACAACCAATCAAAACTCACCAGAATAAAAGAGAAATTCTATAATTATTATGGAAATTTAATTGTAAAATCTTCCTGAAAAGAAATCACCAGCCTAAATTATTTCATGGACAAAAATCAACCAACCATTTAAAGACCTAACAACATTTCTATACAACATCATTATTCATTAGGAAATGTAAATTAAAACCAAATCTATTAGAAAGGATAAAATTTAAACATTCTAGCCATACTAAATACTAGAGATGATGCTGAACAAACAGATTTATCCTATGTTTATGATTAGAATGCAAAATGGTACAGTCACTCTGGAAAAAGTTTGGCAGTAACTTAAGTGTAATTTACTATATGACCCAGCAATACCACTTCTAGCTATTTACTCTAGAAGAATACAAACTTAAGTTTACCCAAAAACTGTCCCTAAAAGTATATAGTGGCTCCATCCATAATTGCACTGAACTGGAAACAACCAAAATGTCTCGTTCAAAGGGTGAATGAATAAACCAAATGTGGTGCATCTATACAAAAGAACACAACTCAGCAATTAAAAACAACAATGACAGCAATAACCCAAAACACCCTCCAATTAACTACTGACACATGCAACAACTTGGATGAATCTCAAAGGCATTATGCTAATTGAAAAAAGTCAGTCTCAAATGTCTATACCATGTGTGATTTGATTTAATTTGATTTATATGACACTCTAGAATATATAAAATTATATTGATGGGGAACATATCAGCGGGTAAAGGAGGAAGGGAAGATTGTGACCATAAATGGCTAATATAGGTCATTTTTGGGGGTTATAGTGCCATTCGGTGTCCTGATTTTGGAATTGTGTCAAAAAAGATTCAATTTTTACTGTATAATAAATAAAATCATAAAATTAAAATCACTGATTGTAATGTACTACATTCTGGAAACAATTTTTTTTTAAAAAAAACTGTATGTTAAAGCTATTCTGGATTAGTCAGGAGTTGAGGTACAAATAAAAAAGGTTAATTTTTTTTGTTGTTTCATGTAGCAGACATATTCTATGTGAGATAATGATCAATATAAAAAATCACTGCAGATCAATCTCAAACTGACATTTGAACAGTAGTACCAATATTTATCAATCCTAGAGAAAGAGGATTCTGGATTGCTGCACCTCTCATTGTCTTTCTTCCTCTATATCTTACCTTGTAAGCCTGAGCTGATTTATCAATGCATTATCAGTTGGTTTAACAATTTGATTTTACTTCTTTTGTACATGGAGATTGTTCTTTACTAAGGCCATAGAGCATATTGATATGATGTTTTTTCAAAGGAATGCATGCTAAATAAGCATCACTTAGAGACCTGGTGAGATATATAAGAACTCAAAAATGTGAGTTTTGTTCCTATTTTAGGGTTTGTTATTTTGTGTTATATTGATTACTCAATTGTCTTGATTCTATCATAATTTTAATTAACTTGAGAACAGAAATTATACATTGCATTCCTATTTCCAGCAACACAGTTATATGTTCTGTAGACAGCAATAAACTTATTGAAAATAAATAAACGTGAAATGCTCTAAAGGTGAAAATAAAGGTGAAATGATATATCTGAGAGGAATGTGGGTTTTTTTTTATGTTTAGATCTGTACAGTGTAGGATTGTCCTACATAGGGATCTGTGCAGTTGTTTATTATTTTATACTGTAACACTCAAGGATACAAAGACAAAATATCTGTTGAATTGCTCATTTTTATGAGTGTCATAGCAAGGAATTACGAAGTGAATACAAGTAAAAGTCCCAGGCTGGTTCTTTGGTATGGGGCCAACTTCTGTCAGTATTTCTAAGAAGTAAGAATATATAATTAATGTGCCAGAGGGCTAAAATCAAAATGGCACTGTCTCTGTATAATTATCAAAGGACATCTCAATAGCAGCAATATGAAGGGGAAAAATAATGTAATTATTAACATAATGATTTTATTTAAGTGGAGAGAACAGCTTAAACTTTTAATGTCTGTTTCCATCAATGTTTTTTTAATCCAAACTGTTTTCATATTGGCAGACCTCGGTTTCTAAGCTTCTATTGGAAAAGTGTCAAGGATATGGGGGGAAAAGATATGTGTGTTAAGATACAAGGTCCAGTCTCAAAGAAGATATATTATAATGTGTGTGTGTGTGTGTGTGTACTGGTTTTGCTCCATTTTCTTACAGATCAATTTTCTATCCGTCTATGCCTTCTTTTGAGGCCATAAATACTAATCTCTAATGCTACCTTTCATTCTTGCTTCTCCTTTGGTCTGGTCGAGGGAAGGTACAATTAGCAGATCCCAGGAAGAGAGGAAAGAACATCTGGGTTCTTATTATCCCCCCACCTGTCTGCTGCTTATGGTTTGACAGTGATTGTGTTTCTTTCCTTGCAGTCAGAGCTCTTATCATCTGACCTCTTTCTTTTGGCTACAGCTTTTGTTTAGCTCTGGTTACACTATTCCATCTTCTTACCCTTATGAATCTAGAGGTACTCATGGTTTCTCACTGTTCTTAGTCACTGTGTGCTTCATTGTATCTTATCGATTCTCTTATTCTTGGTTACACCTTGGTAAATAGTTCTTTCATTGCATCCTCTTCAATTAATACTTTAAGTGTGCTATTTATGGCCTGAATTTGGACTGATATAGACTGGATGGGTGGGAGGCCTTTATCGCTACTCTGTTTAATGCTCTCCTTCATACTTCTAAACGTAAATGAAATACATTTTATTTCATGGCATTTTATTGTGAATATAATCTCTATACTATTACTTGGTATTTCATACCTTTTTGTTGAGAAGATTATTGCAACAAATTTGGAAATGAGGGAACTTCTAAGAAGAAAGAAGTGGCTTTACATGAATTGCCAGCATTTTCTTTTTCACTGGGGTAAAGTTGACCTTTTCTGAAACCTTTCTCTAATGGATGACATTATGAAGAAAGGTATCTTCCACCTCAAAGGGCACTGTTTGGTCTCATCTTCATTCAAAGAGTATAGAGTCCAAGATGAAAGTAAACCTGGCGTGTTTACCTGAGGCGTTTGGGATAAGATGCCATTTAATCTTTTGGATAAAAATGGGAAGAAGTCTTGGGGTCATCTCCTAGAATTAATGAGAAAATGGCACGAGGGCACAACAAGTTTCTCCCTTATTTATATTGCTTAATTGGCATACATGTTTGTTTGGGGAACTTTAAAAAGAAACTTGGCAATAGATATGTGACCACATCAAGAGACTAGAGTTTGGATTGCTTACTCTTCCATGAGAGTTCAAGCTGGCAAAAACACTAAGTTTATTTTACTGCAATTAGTTGGAGGCCAACAAAGAAAATAAACCTTTTTTATATCTTTCCAGGTTTGTGTGTTCCCCTGCTAATAAGCCTCAAAAACTAACGCTGCCCTCAGGGTAATAACATAAATGTTTAATTTGAGTTATTTATTTAATTGTTTAAATAATTTTTAAATTCTGCATGAAGCACACAATAATATTTCTGGGAGAGAAATCTTAGTAGGACTTTTCAATGCATTTTCTTATGGAAGTGGCACCCATTTACTAAGGAAAATATACAACACGCTCCTGATGCTTAGTTCCTCAGTAGAAATCAGGTATGAAGTTGTGGAAAAATTGCTATAACAATGTCTATACATATATATATTTATATTCTTTATATATATATAATATATACGTACAAATAATCAAAGGTGGATTTTTAAAAGTTGTTTTAGCAGCAGTTTAGTTATTTAATTATAAGCATATTCAGGTAGGTTACTACAAAGGATGCAAGAATTTAAATAATTATCAATAAATACTCTTCAATGGCCAAAGTTTCTCGGCTGTATATCTAACCATGCTAATTAAACCCATAAATATGAGACTTGAATAGTAACACTAACCGTTGAGTTCCCTGCTGATGTGATTAAAAGGTTCTATCAGAGACTAACCTTCAGATATTAAACTGGGTCAGCCTTTCAAAGAAATGATAGCGATAAGGCTTCAGGAGCGAAAGACAACACTGGAATAAAAGCTCAACATGCCCCAAAGGATCCTGACAGTGCATGATGACTGGAGGCCTAAAAGCTAATAAAAGATAAACTTTCTACAGAAGTGCTGTCAAAAAGAAATAGAGAAAAGAATAAAAAAGGTGACTAAGAAATAGACAGCCCTAAGAAAGAAAACAGGAAAGCTCTCTTTTTACAGCAAAACAGAGAAGAGATTAAAATGAAGATATATTAAATGATTATACAATTTTCTCCCTTTTACAATGCATTTCCTAGAACTGACCTTTACAGAGTTTCTTTCTGGTTTCTGGCAAAGTGGAAGAATGAAAGATCACAGATAGAGCTATCTTAATCCTTCAGTCTTTCGTGAAGAAAGGGATAATGAACACAATTTTTCTACACAGTATTTGGAAAACACATTTTTATGAAGCCAAGGGAAAAGTAAGAAGGTGGATCAGCTAAGGGTTGGATTATCCTCTCTTTCAGCACCTCCTGTACAGGTTGGGCCTGAGAGTAGAGAAGGAATGGGCTGCTAGCCCATTTCATCCATATACTCCCAATAGGAACGAAGTCTAGCTTGGTGTGCAGAATTTTTGGATGGGATGAAGAACATTTCTGTGATCTCAGTTTTAGAAATATCACTTTCACAGAAAGAAGGCTGAATCTTGTGTTATTAGAATGCAGGAACCAACAGGACCTGACGAAAAGTTGCATTAGAGTTGAGTGAGAAAGGCTGGTCTGCCACTCCACATAATGAAAGCTACCATTGAGATATTGAGGGGAATCAGACTAGTTTCATGGATGTGCAACCTGTACAAAGCCCCGTTTTCAGAAGGGCCCTATGTTTACTTTGATGCTTTGCTTTCACTATCTTGAAATTCTATAAACTTTTTGAAAAATAGGTCTTAAAATTTCATTTTGCATTTGGTTCTGCAAATTTATGAGGCATGTTTTGTGTGGAAGGTGTGTAAGCTTTTGTTAGCTTAGCATATTCTAAGTATCCTCAATTGTTTAACAGGTCTTTTATGCCCCCTGTTGGTCCCAGAAAATTGGGGGAATGTGCCCAAAAGCATCTACTTAGGTCTCTTTCCTTCATATTTCACTCAAAACTCCACAATCTGTTTAGTGCTGCATTGACCAGAGATACAATGAAAGATAAAATATTTCGGCACTTAGAACTAAACAGTAGGGGCTAAGCCAATCACCTTTTCTCTATCACATTGCAGTGGATATGTGATGAGAATCTGATAAATCACAACATTCTCCGTGGAAAGCCACATTCCTTTTAAAGCTAAATGAGAGAAGAGGCAGTCAATAAGAAATTATTGATCCCAATGGGCTGTTCAGTAGTGTAGTAAGTGCTATCTCTACCTGTTTATACTCCTTTTTACTATGGCCCTATTCCCTGAATGTTTTATAGTTCCATAAAGTTCCCCACAGGCAATGAGGCAGTAGAGGCTCTTGGATAAGAGGATGAACTCTAAGCTAGAGGACTTGAGTGCAATTCCTTGAGCTAGTGCTTCCTAACGGTGCAACCCTGAGGAAATATTCTTTTCTTTGTGTCAGTTTCCTCATATATTAAAGAGGGTAAATAGTGGTACCTACTTTATACGTTTCTTATGAGAATTGAATGTGTTAATACGTTAACTTCATTAAATAATGTCTGTTAAATTTTACCTGGTCTTCCAATTGTCATTGTCATGGAACTTTCAAACGGGAGCCAAGGCTTGCATGCTTCTGATGCCCAAGAACACGTGAAAATGTTTCTACCCACAAAAATCAACCTCTGATGGTGAGATTGAGTTCGGAAATATCACAATTCTTAATGGTGTATTACTATATTAAAGACAACCCTGTATCTTGAACTTTTTGGTAGCTTCAGACCCTAAAATTGAATAGTTTCTCATAGGCGTCTGCAGGAGAAAAAAAAGTGTCTTTTTCACCACTCTGTGGCCTATAATTGATTATAATTACCAGTTTGCACAGGACTATATTGGTAGGAGGGTGAAAGATTGCAAAGAACTTTCCCCACTGCTCACTAGCTAATGGGAGACAGCTGCAAGGAAAATAAAACAGTATAATTAAACTTTAGTCTCTTTTGTTCCATTCTTTAAGCAATGTAGTTAGAATTTTCATGTCACCAAAGAACTAGAAAAGAAATTTTCATATTGCTATAGGGAGAAAAGGTCTTTGTATGATAAAATCTTATTCATCTTGGACACTCTGACTGGCCTCTACCATCTTTTTTATAAAAATCTGACCTTAGCTAACTCTTCTTTCACTGGGAGATGTTCTTTAGGTACATTAATATTTAAAGGGAAAGATTAAAAGGAAAGGAAAATCTGAGTATTCCAACAAATCCTGCCTTTTCCTCACTGTCCATCTTGCAAGTCATATCTAGTTTCCACATTTCTATGATTTACAGAATGTGTTAGGGAGTTTCTAAGTGTTGTCTTATTCATATCTTTTTTAACTTACATAGCTCCTCTCATATACTGGAAATACTTTTGTTAGAAAATAATGTAAAATCTCCTCACATTCATCACTAATTAAAACACCTATTTGTAAACAAGCAAATTACATAATTCAACAGTGATCTTTTCAACTACATATTATCCTCATAATCAAACATGAGATTAGAAAACATCAATTAACTCTAAATTGTGTCATATCCTACAGAACTGACTACATGAGAACAAATATCTTGTCTGTAAAAACTAAAGTTGCTATTATATGTTAATTTTATAGCTCGTTTCCCTGATTTTAGTAGGAAGAATAAATTTATCGAGGTAAATTCAAAAGTTTTCTGCCTCTTACCTAAAAAAAGAAAAGGATAAAAAGTCATTTATAATTTTCCCACCCAGAGAAAACCATTTTTATTATTGGATGTATTTCCTTACACATGCATACACATACACACACACATGTGTATGTATGAATGCATACACATGCACACTTTTACCCAGGGTTTATAGTGACTGTATGAAATACACATATTTCACAGTAAGTGTGATTTTTAATATCTATTCTGCTTTGATAGTTATAGATTATATTAATTATAACATATTACATGAATATGTATAGAAAAGAAATATCTAATGTTTCTCTATGCAAGCAATGCCAGCAAAAATAGAGGCTATATGTTTCATTCTTAAAATAGAACATCATGAATTACTAAATCAGTCTCAATAGAGCTTCATTCAGTGTACACATCTTCATCTTACAGGTCTAGGGGTTTAGGGAAAGTTGATTCCTCTGGAGAACAGGACAAAATTTTGGTGAAAGTCAAGGGGTTTTTGTGACATCCTTTTCCTAATATTTTGTCCTATTCTATTTCTTTTTGCTTCACAATGCATTCATACTTTCTGTTTCTTAGTAACATATGGTTTTATTTATCTATTGATTTCACAAAGTCCCAGTGAGGTCACCTCTGCTTTCCCACTGACTTGCCTTTTCAGTACTTTGTATGTGTATTTACCTCAAATATTTTTACATCAAAATATACATACTCTTTTCCTTAACGTGTTGTCCATTGGTACGTAAATAATCACATTCAGTAAACATGCATCTAAGATGGCAGACTAAAAGCAGTGGCAATTGGAGGCTCCCATTGAAAAAAACCATAATAAGAAAGTGAATACTTCACCAGCAACCAGGGTATCTAGGTTCTCTCATCAAAATTGACTAGAAGGCTGGCGTGACCCACGGAGAGAAGGAAGAACAGTGTGGTGCAGTGGCCCATCTGAGAGCCACACAGGGAAGGGGAACCCCCTACCCCAGCCAAAGTAGGCGGTGAGTGAGCAGGCTACCCATCCAGGGAAACAGTGTTTTTTCCACAGAACTGTGCAACACACGGATTGGAAGAACCCACTCGCAAACCCATGCCACCGGGACCTAAATTTTCAACCCCAGAACGTACAGATTCTTACAGCCTCTCATCTGGAATCTGCTTAAACCTACCAAACTCCTTGTGGGAGGGGTGACCAGCACTGGCTGCGGCTACCTGCTGTCTAAGCCATTTGAGCTCCTTGGGGGAGGGGCAACAGCCAACACTGGGACTCCCAATTGCCTGAAATGCTAATCTCCCTGAGCAGGGGAAGGGTGGCACCCTTTTCTATAGCTCCAGGCTGAGCTTTTCCCCTGCTGGAGACAGGGAAGCTGGATGCCTTGGTCCCAAGACTTGTCCCCACAGCCTAATACACCTGCTGTGGCTGTCTATGGTCGGAGTGCCTCTTCAGGACTAACCCCGACCCATCCTTCTTCAGTGGGTGGGGCTTCCCTGCAGGATCTCCAAAACTCCAGCCAGAGGATCAGGACAGAATTCGGATCTCCCTAGGCTTGAGCCACTAGGGGGAGGGGTGGCCACAGTCTCTGTGGACCAGCAGACTTATCCTCTCCCGGTAGTTTTGAGGAATCCAGGCAACCCAGGGGAGTGGGTTTCCCCCAAGCAAAACACACTGTCTCCACCAAGGGACAAAGTGCTTTGTTAAATGGGTCCTGCTCCCCATGCCAAACAACTGGGTAAGAAGCTCCAACAGGGGTTGTCAGACACCACATACAGGAGCAATCCTCCTGGCATCAGGTTTGTGTCCCTCAAAGTCAGAGGTCCCAGAAGAAGGAGCAGGCACACATCTTTACTGCTCTCCAGCCTCCTTAAGTGACATCTCCAGGCCCAGGAGCAAATCACATAAATAGGGTTTGAAGTGAACCCCCAGCAAACTACAGCAGCCCTACAGAAGAAGGACCTCACTATTGAAAGAAAAACAAGCAGAAAGTGACAACAATAGCATCAACAACAACAGCAAAAAGGCCCCCACAAAAATGCCATCTAAGGGTCTGCAGCTTCAAAGGTCAAAACTAGACAAACTCACGAAGATGAGAAAGATTCCATGAAAAAATGCTGAAAACACAAAAGGCCAGAGTACCACTCCTCCTTCAAATGATTGCAATGTCTCTCCATCAAGGGTACAGAACTGGATGGAGAATCAGCTGGACGAATTGATAGAAGTAGGCTTCAGAAGATGGGTAATAAAAAGCTATGATGAGCTAAAGGAGCATGTTCTAACCAATACAAGGAAGCTAAAAACCTTGATAAAAGGTTAGAGGAATTGCTAACTAGAATAATCAGTTTAGAGAAGAACATAAAAGACCTGATGGAGCTGAAAATCACAGCAAGAGAACTTCATGAAGCATACACAATTATCAACAGCCAAATCAACCAAGTAGAAGTAAGGATATCAGGGTTTGAAGACCACCCTACTGAAATAAGACATGCAGGCAGGAATAGAGAAGAATGAATGAAAAGGAATAAACAAAGCTTCTGAGAAATATGGGACTTCATAAAAAGATCGAACCTCTGATTGATTGGTGTACCAGAAGAAGATGGAGAAAATGGAAACAAGCTGGAAAACACACTACAGGATATTATTCAGGAGAACTTCTTCAACCTAGCAAGACAGGCTATCATGCAAATTCAGGAAATACAGAGAACACCATTAAGATACTCCATGGCAAGATCAACCCCAAGACACATATCATCAGATTCTCCAAGGTCAAAATGAAGGAAAACCTGTTAAGGGTAGCCACAGAGGAAGGCCAGGTCACCTACAAAGGGAAGCCCATCAGAATAACAGCAGATCTCTCAACAGAAACTCTACAAGCCAGAAGATCAATATTCAACATTCTTAAAAAAAAGAAAGTCAATATTCAACATTCTTAAAAAAAGAATTTTCAACCCAGAGTTTTATATCCAGCCAAACTAAGCTTCATAAGTGAAGGAGAAATAAAATCCTCTTCAGACAAGCAAATGCTGAGGGATTTCATTACCACCAGGCCTGCCCTGTAAGAACTCCTGAAAGAAGTACTAAATATGGAAAGGAAAAACTGGTACTAGCCACTACAAAAACACATCAAAATTTAAAGACCAATGACACTCTGAAGAAACTGCATCAACTAGTGTACAAAATTACAAAATAGCATCATGATGACAGGATCAAATTCACACATAATGATACAAACTTTTAATGTAAATGAGCTAAATGCCCCAATTAAAAGACACAAACTAGTAAACTGGATAAGGAGTCAAAACCCATCAGTGTGTTGTATTTAGGAGGCCTATCTTACATGCAAAGACACACACAGGCTCAAACTAAAAGGATGGAGGAAAATTTACCAAGCAAATGGAAAACAAAACAAAACAAAAAGCAGGGGTTGCAATCTTAGTCTCTGACAAAACAGACTTTAAAACAACAAAGACCAAAAAAACCAAAGAAGAACATTAATAATAATAGTAAAGGGAACAATTTAATAAGAAGAGCTAACTGTTCTAAATATGTATGTACCCAATACAGCAGGACACAGATTCATAAAACAAGTTCGTAGAGGCGTACAAAGAGACTTAAACTCACACAAAATAATAGTGGGAGACTTTAACACCCACTGTCCAGTATTAGATCAATGAGACAGAAAAGAGAGGAAGTCAAGTTGTCTCTGTTTGCAGATGACATAATTTTACATTTAGAAAACCCCATCATCTCAGCCCCCAAACTCCTTAAACTGATGCAACTTCAGTAAACTCTCAGGATACAAAATCAATGTGCAAAAACCACAAGCATTCCTTTACACCAACAATAGGCAAGAGGAGATCAAAATCATGAATGAACTCCCATTCACAATCATTACAAAAATAATAAAATACCTAGAAATACAGCAAACAAGGGATGTGAAGGAACTCTTCAAGGAGAACTACAAACCACTGTTCAAAGAAATAAGAGAGGATACAAACAAATGGAAAAACTTTCCATCTTCATGGATAGGAAGAATCAATATCATCAAATTGGCCATACTGCCCAAAGTAATTTATAGATTCAACACTATTCCCATAAAACTAATTGACATTCTTCACAGAATTAGAAAAAAACTATTATAAATTTCATATGGAACCAAAGAAGACCCAGTATAGCCAAGAGAAACTTAAGCAGAGAAAACAAAGCTGTAGGCATCACACTACCTGACTTCAAACTATACAACAAGGCTACAGTAACCAAAACAGCATGATACTGGCACCAAAACAGATATAGACCAATGGAGTAGAACAGAGACCTCAGCAATAACACCATACATCTACCATCATCTGATTGACAACCCTGACAAAAACAAGCAATGGGGAAAGGATTCCCTATTTAATAAATGGTGCTGGGAAAACTGGGTAGCCAAATGCAGAAAACTGAAACTGGATCCTTCCTTATATCTTATACAAAAATTAACTCCAGATGGATTAAAGACTTATAGGTAAAACCCCAAACCATAAAAACTCTAGAAGAAAACCTAGGCAGTACCATTCAGGACATAGGCATGGGCAAAGACTTCATAACAAAAATTTCAAAAGCTATTGCAACAAAAGCCAAAATTGACAAATGGGATTTAATTAAAATAAAGTGCTTCTGCACTGCAAAAGAAACTATCATCAGAGTGAATAGTAAAGCTACAGAATGAGGGAAAATTTTGCCATCTACCCATCTGACAAAGGTCTAATATCCAGAATTTACAAGGAACTTTAACAAATTTACAAGAAAAAAACAACCCCATCAAAACAACCCCATCAAAAAGTAGGCAAAGGATAAGAACAGTAAGAACAGACACTTCTCAAAAGAAGACATTTATGCGGCAAACAAACATATGAAAAAAAATCTCAACATTACTGATCATCAGAGAAATGCAAATCAAAGACACAATGAGATATCATCTCATGCCAGTCAGAATGGCAATTATTAAAATGTCAGGAGATAATAGATTGCTGGCAAGGCTGTGGAGAAATAGGAATGCTTTTACACTGTTGACTGGAATGTAAATTAGTTCAACTATTGTGGAAGACAGTAGGGCAATTTCTCAAGGATCTAGAACCAGAAATACCATTTGACCCAGTAATCCCATTACTGGGCATATATCCAAAGGAATATAAATCATTCTACTCTAAAGACACATGCCCACATATGTTTATTGCAGCACTATTTACAATAGCAAAGACATGGAAACAATCCAAATGCCCATAAATGATAGATTGGATAAAGAAAATGTGGTACATATACACCATGGAATACTATGCAGCCATAAAAAGAATGAGATCATGTATTTTGAGGGACATGGATGAAGCTGGAAGCCATCATCCTCAGCAAACTAATACAGAAACAGAAAACCAAACACCACATATTCTCACTCATAAGTGGGAGTTAAACATTGAGAACATGTGGACACAGAGAGGGGAACACCACACACCAGGGCTTGTTGTGGGGTGGGGGGTGAGGTGAGGGAACTTAGAGGATGGGTCAATAGCTGCAGCAAACCACCATGGCACACGTATACCTATGTAACAAACCTGCATGTTCTGCATATGTATCGTGTTTTTGTTTTTTGTGGGGGTTTTTTAGAAGAAATAAAGAAAAAAATGCATCTCTTGAAAGAATTAACAAGACATTTGATCAAATGCCATAATCTTTCAGAGATAAAATAGGTATAATTCTCTTATCAATAAACTTATCCTCTGTCATGTAAAATATAGCATCAATAACTGTAATACAAGAAGGGGTGTGATCAACATAAGTGGGGACAAATATATTTCTATGATAATTACATGCCACCAATTAATTTTGGTTACATGAATGGTGGTAAGAGGAATTTTCCCATAAAAGACACACTGTTTCATTGATTTGCACCTGAAAAATGCCAAACAAGGCATTGCATCTCTCTCTGGGCTTCAGGTTCTTTTTATTTTTAATGCAAAAAGTTTTTAGAGAAGTTCAGCTCATAGCAATATTGAGTAAAATGTACAGAGATTTCCCAAATATAGCCTGCCCCACACATGCATAGCCTCTCCTATTATTAACATCCTCCACCAGAATGATATGTATGTTAAAATTGATGGGTTTCAGGTTCTTTAAAAAATAAAATAAAGGGAAAGACTAAGGGAAAAGTATCTGATACCTCTATTATTACAAATTACTACAAAATATTAAGACTTATTTTATGGTGAATATAAATATGAACAAACCAAGATCTTCCCAGTCACTCCATTGTCTATGGGGACTTTAATGCCCATTTGACTCCCTGTATCCCTTTTATGACCCTTTCCTCTATCTCTTCACAACTCATGAAGCTCTACTTCTTATTTTCTGGAAATCACTGTCATTTATCAATAAAACCCCTCCTATGTACCACCTCCTCTCTGTATGATCCCTTTACCCTATTTCTTTTATGGGAGACCTGACTCTTCCCAATGGACACTGCTTTCTCTAGAGTCCTCTCAAAAAGAGATAGTTTTCTTCTTCTATCTTGCACCCTTTGGCCTGGAGGCAGGTGAATCCCCTTCCTGTTTTCTTTATTGCTTCCTTCCCACCATCCTTTTGCTCTTTTCTATCTATACCCAGCTTTTTTCATGTCATCAGACTATTCTGAAACTACTCTGCTTTGTTGTATTAAGATCTTAAGTCCAAAGTCACTCCCCCCGATTTCTTTGCTCCTGGTCACTGTCTCTCTCTTCTTTCAAATTGCTGTTGTAATTCTTAGTGATTAATATCTACAAAGTGACATTTCTGATATGCCAGGCCCTCACTCTTTCAACTCTCTTCTCCAAAAAGCATCTTCTTCACCTTCGCTCAGCTAATTATTCCTTGGTCACTCCTTAAATATAATCACTTCCAGTAATTGCAAGCTCTTCATAGTTTGAATTTATGTTTTCCACTCTTCATCTAGCAGCTGCAATTTTTTAATCTCATGCCCTTTTGAAATCCCAGAACAGCAATCCTTCTCTTTCTCTAAGCCCTACCTATCATGGTTCCTATCATTATCCTTCCTTCCCTCCAGTTCTTAATTTACCTTACTATTCCAGCTTAAATTTCATGGTTATTCATTATAATCATACTCCTCTATTCTATTGTTTACTTTTCTCTCTCCCATTTTCTTGTACTTGCTTGGAAAAACCAAAATTATTCTGAAATAAGAGGGTGGGAACATACAGCAATACTGATTGACCTGACTCTAAATTCATGAGCAGTCATGCCACATGGACCATTAATGCTACCAAGCATTAGACTACATTTGATTTACTTTCTTTCTCCTCTTACTGCATATGCCCTACTCATGCCTCAGATCTCAAATTACCACTAGCCCTTATAGAAATATGTTTGCCCTTGTATTGAGAAAACAGAGAAGTTATTTCCCACATGCTACAAGAACTACCACATCTACCTGTGTACCTCAATTTCATCTTGTAAATTCTGCTTTTTTTCATTACTATGAATTAAATGTTTGCAGTCCCAGTCATGGCCAAACTCTTCACTTATTTACAAGACCCTATGTATTTTCTCCTCTTGAAGACATTGTTCCTTTAATTCTTTCCTCTCTCTCCTGCATTATCAACTTTTACCTCTATAATGAATAATCCTAATTTAGTATGAAAATACACTATTTGCCCCATCTTTAAGAAAAATAAAAACAAAACACATCTCCTTTCCTCATCTCAAATCTCCTTAGTCCATGTATTTCTTTTCCAGCAGAACTCCTGGAATATTTTATGTGTACTTGCCTTCTCTAGACTCAATCCTCTAATTTTCAACCTACTAAAATCAGACTTGGACCCCACTACTGCATCAAAACTGTTTAATAATGTTACTGACGATTTCCATGTTGTTAAATTAAGCAGTAATTAATTATTCCTAATCTTGTTGATTTGTCATCAGCTTTGTCTTTATGTCAACACTTTTTGCTTCACCCATATAGTCATTCTTTTGGTGATCTCATTCAATCTATGGCTTTGAATGTCATTTATGAAGTCACAGCTCACAAATTCATAGCTGTAGCCTAGATTTCTATGCTGAATTATAGTCTTTCATTTCACCCTTATTCTACACTTTAATATGGAGGATATAATAGGCATCTCAAATGTAACTTATTCAAAACTGAGCACCAGATATCTCCCTCCCTGCCTATTGTACTTATTGTCTTCATGTTAGTTAATGGAAACTTTGTTCAGGTTGTTTAGGCCAAGTTCTCGTCCTTCACTATTCTCTTTATTTACAAATTATATCTAGTACGACAGAAAACTTTTGGGTTTAGCTTCAAAGTCTATGCACAATAAGACCAGTTATCAATAACTCTGCTCTCCATGCCACCATTATCTCTCACTTGGATTATAGCAATATCCTCCCAACTTCTCTGCCATCTGCCCTTTCCCTTGTAGGTCAATTACTAGCACAATGGCCAGAACGATCTTGTTATAATTTGAATCAGATTACATCCTTCTCTGGTTTAAAACTCTCCAAGGTTTCCCATCTCCTTTGGAGCAAAAGTAAGTTATTTACAATGTCCTTCAAGGTCCTTTGTTATCTGGTCCATCATCTCTCTGACCTGATCTCCAAACTTTCTCCCTTGTGACCACTCCATCTCAAACTGTAAACACAGAAGGCTGGTTCTCACCTCAGAGCCTTTCCAATTTGAGCTAATTCTGCCTGGAATGTACTCCAGAATAAACATACGACTCACTACTTCACAAATCTCAATTTTTTACTCAAACACCATTTACTCCAATATTTTTCTCTTATCACTCTAATAAATATAACCCTTCACTTTCTTTTTCCCTTTTGGGGTTTATTTTTCTTGATAATAATTAATACTGCCTAACATGCTCTACTGTAAGTGAATCATTTGAGCAAACCTCTCTATGTAAAAGAAGAATATATGTATTTTAGAATGTAAATTGTAATCTCATGTCTATGTCTGACTCAAATCAAGAATTAATAAATATAGGAAGATGGTTGGATATGGAAGGTGATGGGATATAAACTGGAAAAGTGGAGTTAAACTTAGATTAAGGGAAGCTAGAATAATTTTAGTTTATTTAATAGTCAGCAGGGCACCACCATATTTTTGGGGACAAAAATAAAAGAAGAAAATCCTCACTAATATGCTATATGTTGAGAATACGCACTCCTTTCTCCACTAATACACCAAAAGCTACAAAATGATACAATATGCCATCTGTCCAGAAAACGTTGAGAAATAAACTAATGGTGTCGTGTGAGATATTTTATTAGCTACTGAGAGAGATAGTTTGAGAAAGAGGCTTTCCGACACCCTTCAAGCCATACCCTAGTTGAAGGGGGAAAAGGAACATAAAAATTGAATTCTGTTGGTGACAGAGTTGGGGAGCAGGTTATTCACAGGGTGTTCAGAGTATAGAACAGCCCTTCACAATCACGTACAGTTTATCTTTGCACTTAATCTCAAACATATTTAGTCAGGTCTACTCCCCAGAGGAATTGAAAGTACACCAGAAATTCTGTTAGCATAGTGCCATGTTCAGCATCACCTATCCTTAATATGATTTCTTCTGCAGATGTCAGCAGAACCAATTTTCATAACTTACCCGTACATCTCATCACATTTGTATCGAGTGGCAACTTGCTCACTCTTGCCAACTTGCCTGTGTTATTCTGCTGAATTGCAATCTTGTCTTCAGCATGAGGCCAATCACCACTGAGTCGTTGATATATATATACACACACTTATGATTAGCTAAACTGAAATTGAGGTAATGACATAGATGGAAAAGGGATTGGAGTTCTTGTAGTTTGCATCCTGCCTTGGAGCTTAGACTTTGTATCAGTCACACAGGCAGATAGCAGATCTTATCAAGGCCATAAAGCAAATAATCACAAAATATTGCAATTAATGAGATTTTAGAGATCATCTTCTCTAGTATTTCATTTAGGGTCCAGAGATATAAAATGTTGTTCAAAACCAGTAATTATTTGGGTTCTTATAAGACAGAACTGGAAAACAATGGGTTATTTTCACTGAGACTCCAATTTTTCTGACACTAATAGATTTCCTTTTGAGGTACTAATGCCTCTCCTAGAAAGACTTTATGTATTTTTGTAGTGTTACAATACATATTGGGATGTAAATAAGATAGAATATCCAGACTTAGGGAATCATTTATTATATTAGTCTTCTGTTGAGATGGGAAACCAATGTAAATCTTATTGGCTTGTCACAATCTTCATTTAATTTTTTTTTTTTTTTTGAGACGGAGTCTCGCTGTGTCCCCCAGGCTGGAGTGCAGTGGCATGATCTCAGCTCACTGCAAGCTCCGCCTCCTGGGTTCACACAATTCTCCTGCCTCAGCCTCCTGAGTAGCTGGGACTACAGGTGCCCACCAACATGCCTGGCTAATTTTTTGTCTTTTTAGTAGAGACGGGGTTTCACCGTGTTAGCCAGGATGGTCTCGATCTCCTGACCTCGTGATCTGCCCGTCTCGGCTCCCAAAGTGCTGGGATTGTCTGTATCTCAGTTGAGGCAGATATGCCTCAGCCTAAGACTCAGCTGAGCTTGTTGAAAGATATTTTGGTCTGTTCTCTGTGTCTCTTCACTTTCTTTGGACCAGAAGCTACCAGGTACATGTTCTTCTGAAGGCAAATGGCAGGAGCACAAGAGAGTGAATGGAGACATACATCATCTCTTAAAGCCCTGGTTCAGAAATAGTAGAATGTTTCCTCTGTCCACATTTCTTTGGTCAAAGTAGGTGGCCAAAGGGAAGAGACATATACAATTGCTTTACAATGATCTAATCTGTACTAATATTTGTTGTTTAAAATTAACTGTTCTTACTTACATAATAACTAGAGCATTTTATTTTTCCTATGGATTTAACAACTTTCCTCTCTTTACCACAACTTTTTATTCCATTTGTATTTTTCTCCTTTTGCCCTTTCATGAGTTTAAGTTAATTTTATGTCTAAAATAAGCTGATCAAAATAAAATTTATAGTTGGAAATAAAATAAAATAAATGGACCTATAATGTAATTTTAGAAAATGTATGCTTATTATATTGTCTATCAAAAGAATAGTGATTAGGTGTAATTTCAGGAAGTTTACAAAAATGTTTATACCTCATTGAAAGAATATTTTAATTTTCTACTAAATGTGTATTTTGTTGAGTATTTAACAAGAAGTAGTTTTTATTTTATAGGCCCTTGTTTCTTCTAATTATTTATTTACCTTTTAAAATTTCTCCTGAAGGAACGTCCCCTGGCATTACCTACCCTCATTCCTCATCTAGTTTTCTCAGAAAGTCAGTTACTAAGTAGGTTAATGCTCAGAATTAAGGTGGCCATAATTGTATGGTAAGGCTTCACACTGAAGAACACAATAATCTACTACAAGGCAAAGTTTGTATACCATGATCTACCTTTTGTCCTAATCACCACTGACACTTTGCTTCTAAATCAGGAGTGCCTTAATTTTAATGTATACCCATAAAAACAACTACATACATTCATATTCTATTGAAAATAGATAAAAACTATTAATATCACCTATGGAACCAATTGACAGTGTATTTATTATTCCTGTGATCATTCCTTGCAACACGTAATGGAAATTTACCTTATTCTGAATGCAAGGGTAATTTTCTACATGAACCATGAAGCAGAATAAAAATGGTTCTGTGGCAGACACTGTCAGTGCTCTTCAGTGCTTTGCACATGGACCCTTGAATTCCTATATTTTTATGCACAATGCACAATGGTGATTTCATTTAAAAAAAACATCATCTAATGGTGTTTTCATTTAAAAAAACATTTCTGTCAGGCTGCTAGAAACCACTTTACCTTGGCCAACAGAGAACCAAGTTTGCCTGGAAATTTACATGTTCCTAGACTTTTAGCCAATACTTAAGGGTATAGTGTAGGAGAAGACAATTTAGAGATGAAATCCTCACTGTTTCCACAGGTCCTATCTCAGACTGAGCCCAATTTAACTCTAGTGGAACTTTGTTTGACAATGCAATCATTCATGCCCACTTTCCTATTTCCCTACTCCTCTATAAGTTAAATGGCTCTTAAGAGCCATTCTCAGACATTATCTTATTCTTTCTATCACATATCAGGACATATAGCTCTTTCAAACAATAATTCCTTTATTCCTTTAGCAAGACCTATCATTTCCAACTCACTTTTGCAAAACTTTACCTAGTTATTAGATTAATAGCCAGGAGGAGCAGATGCCAGCTCTTGAGAAAGGGAATTATCAGCTTGCAAGGCATCTGCCACAGTTGAGTCTTTTGCATGATTCTCAAAATAGGAATGATGCTATCCTACAGCCAGTTATTCTAGCCCATCAAGAGGGCTCAATGTTCTTCAGTGAATCTATCCAGATTCATTCTATTTCAAGTCTCAGAGTCCTACTTATTCCCTGTGACTTTTGCATGGAAGACTTGCTGAGGCTGTGAATTTAGCCCTTTTTGTAGTTCTGCTACTATAACCACCAACTCTATGATTGAAATTATTGATCTAGTCATAATATGCTATTAGACTTTTCAAAGCTTGGAAAAACTGATGGCTTATATTAAGTGAAGGAGTTGTGCCAGAAATGCCCTATCAGAGTGTTGTGGAGAGGATATAAAGGTGGCATAAGAGAGGTGAGTAATCTAGAAGAATCAGTTATGAAAGACCCAATAACCTCAATCTCCTCTCTCAGTTGTCTTTTTTCTCTAATAAGGCTCAGCGGATACTACCTTCACTAAAGTTATAAGAAGACTTTGATGGTGAGGGCATGGTCATTGCAAAGATGTCCAGTGTGAGCTGTTCTTATATATTAGGGTTAATGACAGAGGTTGCATTTATGGAACTGGGCTCCCTAGTGATAATGATTATAATAAGGTTTCAGAATAGCAGAGGCTAAGTGGTAGCAATAAACCATTAAAGAAAAGGGACACAAAATTACTGTAATACCAACAAGGGGCAGCAACCCCTAGGTAGTTCCAAGAAACAGAGTTCATACATTAAAGGAGAGGGTGAATGTGCATTAGGAAGGCCACTATAACACAAGAGCAAATGTATATGGCAGCAATTCCTCCGATCTTTCCCCAAAGCATTCTATGGCCATTTACTCACACTGCTGTTTCAGATGTGTGTTTTTACTAGAAAAGATCAACATGACCTCTGGCACTTAGTATGCAAATTGATCTACAACTATGTCCTCTTTTTAACACCATTAGGAAAGAGAATCAGAGGTAGTTTGAATACACATGGAATAGACAGCTGTACACACTTACAGACTTTGCTTGACACAACTCTCTTATATGGCCTTACTGTTTGGGGCCTTATAAGATCCATCTCCCTTCTTTCCTCTTGTTTGATCTTGAGAACACATTCTAATATATCACTTTCACATGAATATTCATCTCAGAATCTGTTTCCAGGGAACTCATGAAATGTTCCACACCATTTGGGTCTTTTTACAAATTGACCTAAATCGATTTTGGGAGAAACTGAGCAATGATACATAAGTGAAAAATAAAAAGAACAAACATTTTCCCCTATATTATGGGACATTTCTGTTCACACAAAAAGTGTTTGTTGCAGGTTTCTTTTCTAATTTTAATGGATATGTAATAATCATACTTATTTATGGAGTATATGTGAAATTTTGATACAGGTATGTAAAGTGTCATGGTCAAATCAGGGCACTTGGGATATCCACCACCTCAAACATTTATCATTGTTTTGTGTTAAGAATAATACTGAGTGTTCAGTAGCAAAATAATGGGACTATAGTTAACAATAATTTATCGTATATTTCAAAATAAATAGAAGAGTAGAATCAGAATGTTTATTGTAGGTTTCTTAATGGAACATTTACGCTTTGATTCTTCTACCATACAAAATGTCTGTATTCATTGTCCCCGGGTTTCAAAGAAATATCTTCTAGCACACTGCACCCAAGAGCCGAAGGCGGCTTTTTTTTCTGCGTGTATGCAAACAAACAAAGAAAAAAACCAACAAAAACTTAAATCATCTATGAGTTCTTTTAGGAAGTAAGAAAATCTTCTAATTTAAAAGAGAGGCCACAACCGCTTAATGAATGAACTGGTAGTGACTCTGCTCTTTCAGGGCTCATTATGCTTCATTTGTCAATACTAATATTAGCTCTCTGAGGATTAATTTTAAGGTCAAAAGTAAAAGATGAAACCCAGAAAGGGAATTGGCAATGGCATCTCTGTGACTCACAACCACCATTACTTTATCAGAGCAGGGCTTCAACAGTCCACAAGGAATCACCTGAGGGTTCCTAGAAATAGCCCGAACACCTCCACAGGATCCCTGGGCAAAGAATGCTGGCTGGCGAAGGCCAATAACTCTGTGGATGTGTCACTGTTTCTTCCTCATCATTATTTCCTTCCTCTACATCATCTTCATGCACCCTCAAAGATACCCTATTTTCTTTCATTTGAACTACCAAAAGAGATCCCAAAGGAAAATAAAGGAATATGTAGAGGGGCTTGCTGAGGAAAATTATTTGTTGTCTTATTTCAGGATTCTTATAAAAAGATAATCATACTGGGCTTTTAACATAAAGTATCATTTAGTTCAAAATTGTCTCTCTACTTCCCCTCAAACCATCCTGCATATTATAACTGGGATTAACTGACATCATTTAGGTGGGTGGCTGGTGAGTATTAAAATAAAGTAGTTTAATGGATTTTGGAAGTTTCAGGAACAAAATGGGATTGCAGTCTTTTTTATAAACTGAAACAAGTTGTGAAGATTAGGCATTATTACATTGTGCCTGAATGTATTCTTGGTTTATGAAGACACTGTTTGGATCCAATGAATAATTTTCAAAAGAGATGGCATACTTATTTTTTTCCTTTTTCCTTCTTATGAACCTGCAGATCCAGTGTACACAGACCTTTTGTTACTGGGTGTAGCATTCTACTGAGTCAGACCTCAAGCTTGTATAAAAGCTTGTCCTTGCTTTTGTGATGTGATGGTTTCTTTCTGTTTCAAAAGAAAAATATGAAGATTTAGCAGGACAACAATGGCAGTAGCAAACCCACATTAAAGCTGTTACAATCTTTTTCTCATAAAGAACTATTTTCTCATGGAAAATAAAATCCTAGTATATTTTCAGCTCTGATGAACAAATGAATACAGGTCACACTTCATATTTACTTGTGTTCAGATATATGAAAGACTGGTAATTGGGCATGTGGTTTTCTTTGACAGTAGTAATTCTAGCTTCCTGGGAACTATTTTCTACTATTTCATTCCACTGTAAACTTAGAAGAAAGAGGCTTTTATGATTTTGTCTATTAGTTTTGAGGGTAATGATCAGCAAAGGAGAAGTTTAAAAAAACACAAAAAAACACAGACAAGTGAAAACAAACAAAAAAATAAAAACCTTTTATTGTCAGCTGCTATTACTTGAGCTCTTGCCTTTGACTAAACATGTATTTTATCAGAACACAAAAGAAAGCAACCTCTAATATTTAATCAAGAGGTATTAAAATACTTATATTTTATATCATGCAATTTTCAGACTTAATTTAGTTTTTGCTTTTGGTAAAAAAAAAAAAAACACTTTGCATTCATTACCTTATTCTTATATCCTTGTATGGAAAATAGTTACATCCATACATCAGAAAAGTTTGTGGAAGACATGCTAATCAGCCATGAAACACACAAAGAAGTGGCAAATCATGTGATGCTCTTAGCATTCCTCTCCCTGAAGCAATACCTTACTTCTGTGTGGGGTAAAGCATCTGCCTCCATGACAAAATGAGTGAAAATATCCAAGCAAAAACTCATCTTTGTTTTCCTTGCAGATTGCACAATTTATCTCCAATAACACACACATTCATCATCACTAGAGCTCAGTGGAATAATTATGAGTATTTCCTGAATAGACCATGCAAAGCCATGTGCTCTTGGTGGAAAGAATGTGAAGAAGATACTTAAAACTTGCACAAATAATAAGACTGCAAAGTCAGCCACTTATAGTTCAGCAGCATTTGAAATCATATATGCATGCAAGGAGAGTGGTCTGCGGCTGTGAATAGATTTTTGGATCTCTATGAGGTAGAAGGAGTTTGGTAGGAGAGAATAGGAACTTCAAATTTTCTGTTACAAGGCAGACGTTTTAAAAAGAAGTTATTAGAGTAAAATGTTAACATAAAATATCTATGGATATAGGTATCACTATATCTCCTATAATGTGCAATGTTAAGGAATTTAAAAGAAAGCAGGAGACTGAAGATGTGGTGAAGAAAAGAAAAATTGCATTAATGTTAAAAATAGCTTGCAAGCCACTGTGAGGTAATATAGTGAAACATAACAATATTTGTTATTTACGTTGAATTTTGCAGTTTACAAAACACTTTACAATATAGGTTCTCATTTAATTATTTCAATAGCTGTTGTTACATATTATTATCCCCCTTTTATGGTAGATAAAACAGATTCATAGGGTTTAAAGGATTTGTCCAAGGTTACAGATGCATAAGTGGCAAAAATTTGCAGGGAATTGCGTTTCCTGACTTTTCCTTAGATTGGCAAATTCACAGTAGCCGAGATATAAAGGAAAATGAAGATGGTCTGGATCACAGATAGGATATGCAAATCAAAACTCTGAGGCACCAGGCTCAAGATGATTGAGGACACTAGAACAAGCTAAAGAGGATAAACAAATTTCCAAAACATAATATTGAGATTAGTGGCCCAAAGAAGCAGATATAATGGAGGGCTTCATCCATAGCCTGAAGCAGTATTGTCAGGAGGCTTATTTTACATGTTAATTTATTTTAAAATTACAATTCTTAATTGCCTTTGATCTTTCTCAATTTTAAACCAGTTCTAGAGTTTTAAACCAAATTATTTTAAAATAAGTTGAAGAGTTTAAGGAAACTGTCTTAATTTTTTAAACATTTATACTGCATTTTCTTATCACCATCTCACCTATGTGGCTACATTCGTCACCACCTGACTTATACATGATTATCTGTTCCTTCAACCATGATGTAAGCATAATAAAAGTAAGACATTTTTCATTTTATTTTTTAAACATGACTCTAACTTCTATCTAGAGATATGTGTCTGGTATGAAATAGGCATTTATTAAGTATTTCTTGAATTTATTAATGAGTTTATATATGGTTGAAATGTGATTTCCCCTCATCTCTTTCACTAGCCCCTTATTCTTTTTTTGGCTTTTTTTCTACGTATATTCTAGGAGATGTAGTTTCTTGGTCTTTTCTCTTAGGATTTTCCTCCTCATTTTCCTTTGTTTGGCAAAGACAACTCATGATTAATTCTAATGCATTTTATTCACAATATCTTTTTAATTCTCACCGCCTACTCTTAGTCAAAGTACATGCTCCATGATAACAAATTCCTTATTTATTTTCCTAACTTTAATTTCTCTGATTGTTCAATGCAGCCTGCAATCTGTTTCCATAGTATTTCTAGCATGCCATTTTAATCAACACACTCCATTGCTCAGGAATGGCTGTTGGCTCCTGAATCTTATCAGATGGGCAATGACTGGGAGAAGAGAACATGCCATGACCTATGCCCTGCCAACACATATGTTTTTAAAACACGAGTGTTCTTTCCTAACTGATCGATGTAGGGATATATCATTTTATCAGAAGCAGAGAGGTGTCATTGTCCAGAGACAGATTCAGCATAAATAGGTCCCATTTCCCTCTAACCTCAAGATTCTAAAGGAAATATATACAACTTTGGGTGATATCGTTTACCCAATATAAGGTCTTATCAGAACTACAAAGTTCAATTGGTCTGTGACAGTATGAAGCTTATATCATTTAAATACTCTTTTAGTTCTTGAATTAAAAGTAAGTGCCAGCAAGGTCAAATCCATGTAATTTTCTCAGATTTATTGAATCAAATATCTGCCTCCATATTTCCTGCTTTGTGAAAATTACATTTTTCTGAAGTTCAATACATCGCGTCTTTTCCCAATACAGTTCTCTCACTTTCAAACAAAGAATAAAGAACATCAAAAACTTTTAACTCATCTGAATGGTATTGCATTACATTGTCCAAGGGTGTAAACAAAACTTCTGAGATGTTAAAAAAAAAAAAGAAAATAAAAAATGGAAGAAAAAAAGAAATAAAAGATCCAAAGCCAATATTTTAAAAGGGTAATCCAAAATGATTATATTTGCATAATCTCTGTAATCAAAGAACTCTCAACTGCTTACTTTGCCCGATTTCAAATAGAAGATAAATAATTTGTTTTTTTCTTCTGACATATCAAATTTATACCTTTAATTTATGCATTTATTCAGGTGTAGGAGAGGGACATTTTTATTAAACTTTGGCAATAGATTACTGGACACTGAAAAATTCTTATCCATCTTTTCCTTGGGAGAAAATCTGCTCACTATCCCTACTCAACGATTTGTGTGCTTAATTATTTATGCAGTTCATATATTTATTGGTTTTATATTAATCTAGTTGGAATATGTTGAGGATTCTACTATAAATAATGAACTTAACAACAATCATTAATTCACATTTTGTAAGTCTTGAATTTATTCATGACCCATATACTCTCTTCATTTGCTGTTAATTTCCCTTGAACATTGCTTTATTCTAGCAATAACTCATATTCATTTACAAGTACATGAATTAATTTTTAAAAGCCCCATCCATCTCATTAAGGAATATATTTCCAGTAAAATTTATTTTTCATGCTTTAATCAATTGGGTACTATTAATAATTGTATAGTAATTCAATATAAGGGAATTTTGTTAACATTGAGAGCTTTATAGGAATTGAAAGATCAATTCTGATTTATAAATATAATTTAGTTGAAAAGTATGTTACAGTGAGCCATAAAAATGTTCATGTATAAAAAAAAAAAGAACCACATGTTCAGTGAAAAGGTGAATTAGAACACAACCGTCACCAAAAAATAAAAAATAAAGATAATAAGGTAACTTGATCAACTTAGTTTTGTTGCTGGATACTCTCTCAGAATTCTTAGGCACAGGCTATACTTCATGTAGTTTTAAAATTGAAATCATGATCCCAATCTCATTCTTAAACCCTTCATGTAGAAGATATTAATAACCATGTTTCCAGGTTGACAGCATGCCAGACAACTAGCAGAAGCAAATTCCAACATTCTAGAGGAATATACCTTAAAATCAGTCTCAATTTTTTCCCCTTATCAATCTTCCAAGGAACATGGGCTTTTATTATGAGGAAGTATGATACCATGTTCAAGATTCAACAGAAACAACTCCAAATGAAGCAATTTTGTAAAATTGAAAACATTGGCACTACTAAAAAGCAAATATAAAATAAATGTTTAATATTATTTAAAAAACAAAGTAGAACATTGAAAATATAATACTGGAACAAGTGACTTTAAATGAATATTTGGAAATTAGCAAAATACCAGTACTATATTGGAGCAATGTATTTATTGGAATTTGAAACACAAAGGATGGGGGGGGAAAGCTCAAGAATATTCATAAAAATACACCAGCAAAAAATCAATTGATCTATCAATAAGCAACCAAAAATGAATGAAAAATAAGTACATGAATACATGCATACCATTGTCACTAGGGAAATAAAAATTAAAACTGTAAGTAGATACCAGTACACACACCAGAGTGGGTAAAATCCAAAACATTGGCCACATCAAATGCAGAAAAGGTTATGGAGTAACTAGAACCCTCATGCATTACTGGTGGGACTATGAAATACTATAACTATATGAGAAAAAGACTTGGAAATTATTTAAAATGTAAAACATATGTCATACAATCCAGCCATTCCTCTTTTAGAACTTATTGAAGGAAAATAAAAGTATGCTTCCTCCCAAAGACTTAAGCATGAATGTCCATTGCAGATTTATTTGTAATAGTAAAACCTGGAAACAACCCACATATTCATTAATCAGAGGATGGATTAAAAAAATGTTGTATATTCATTCAATGGAATACTATTCAATAGTATAAATGAATAAACTATGTCTTTATATATAAACAACATGGATAAATCCCAAAATAAGTGTATTGGGTAAATGAAGGAATATTAAAAAAAGAAAAGATATGCATAACTCAATCTAAATGCAATTCTAGAAAATGCATGTCAGTGTGGATAGGAGGTGAAGAAGCAAAAGATCAGTAAGGAGCCATTACAAAGTGGTAAGAGGAAAGTTTTAGAGGTACTGTGGTGGTGGTGGTGACTTCAGTGATGTATACCCATGTTAAATTTTATCAAAGTGTACAGTTTAGTGATATTGAGTTTACTGTCTATCAATTATAATAGAGCTAAAAATAAATCTGAAAAATCAAAGTAAGGAGAACAAGAAAGGAAGTTTAAAAAGCACTACAAAATCTAAATCATGCTACCTGATTATTACCTTCAATAATATTTGGTAATACTTCAGGCATCTCTTTTTTTTAATTCCAATTTTTATTTTAAGTTCAAGGGTACATGTCCAGGGTGTGGGTTTGTTACATAGGTAAATGTGTGCCATTGTGGTTTGCTGCACAGATCATCTCATCACCCAGGTATTAAGCCCAGCATCCACTAGTTATTCTTCCTGAACCTCTCCCTCCTCCCACCCACTCCTCCTCCAACAGGCCCCAGTGTGTGTTGTTCCCCCTGTGTGTCCATGTGTTCTCATCACTTAGCTCCCACTTATAAGTGAGAACATGCAGTATTTGTTTTTCTGTTCCTGTGTTACTTTGCTAAGTACAATGGTCTCTAGTTCCATCCATGTCCCTGAAAAGAACGTCATCTCGTTCCTTTTCATGGCTGCATAGTAGTCCATGGCATATATGAGCTACATTTTCTTTATCCAGTCTATCATTGATGAGCATTTAGGTGGATTCCATGTCTTTGCTTTTGTGAATAGTGCTGCCATGAATATATGCATGCATGTGTCTTTAGCCTAGAACAATTTATATTCCTTTGGGTTTATATTGAGTAATGGGATTCCTGGGCCGAATGGTATTTCTTCCTGTAGGGCTTTGAGGCATCACCACACTGACTTCCACAATGGTTTAACTAATTTACACTCCCACCAGTGGTGTATAAGCATTCTCTTTTCTCTGCAACCTTTCCAGCATCTGTTATTTTTTGACTTTTAAAAATAGACATTCTGACTGATGTAAGATGGTATCTCATTGTGGTTTTGATTTGCATTTTTCTATTGATCAGTAATGTTGAGATTTGTTTTTATGTTTGTTGGCTGCATGTATGTCTTTTTTTGATAAGTGTCTGTCCATGTCCTTTGCCCACTTTTTAATGAGGTTGTTTTTCTTTATTTGTAAATTTGTATAAGTTCCTTATAGATGCTGGATTTTAGACCTTTGTAAGTTAAATGCATAAGTTGCAAAAAATTTCTCCTATTCTGTATGCTGTCTGTTTTCTCTGTTGATAGTTTCCTTTACTGTACAGAGAGCTCTTTAGTTTCCATTTGTCAATTTTTCCCTTTATTGCAATTGCTTTTGCATCTTTGTCATGAAATATTGGCCAATGCCTATGTCCTGAATGGTATTGTCTAGGTTTTCTTCTAGGGTTTTTATAGTTTTTTATTTTACATTTAAGTGTTTAATCCATCTCGAGTTGATGTTTATATGTGGTGTAAGGAAAGGGTCCGGTTTTAGTTTTCTGCATGTGGCTAGCCAGTTCTCCCAGCACCATTTATTAAATAGGGAATCCTCTCCACATTGCTTGTTTTTTGTCAGGTTTGTCAAAGATCAGATGGTTGTAGGTGTGCAGATTTATTTCTGGGTTTTCTATTCTGTTCCATTGGTCTATGTGTCTGTTCTTGTACCAGTACCATGCTGTTTTGGTTACTGTACCCCCATAGCATAATATGAAGTCAGGTATCCTGATGTCTCCAGCTTTCTTCTTTTTGTCTAGGATTGCCTTTGCTATTTGGCTTCTTTTTTGATTTCATATGAATTTTAAAATAGTTTTTTTTTTTCTAATTCTGTGAATAATGTCAATGGTAGTTTAATGGAATAGCACGGAATCTACAAATTGCTTTGGGAAGTATCCCAGTTTTACAATATTGATTCTTCCCATCTATGAGCATGGAATGTTGTTCCATTTGTTTGTGTCATCTCTGCTGTTTTTGAGCAGGAGTTTGTAGTTCTCCTTGAAGAGGTCTTCACTTCCCTTGTTAGCTGTATTCCTAGGTATCCTTTTGCGGCAATTGTGAATGGGAGTTTATTCATGATTTGGCTCTCACAACTGCCTAACACACTAAGCTCCAAGGGTGGGGGAAGAATGGCACCCATTTCTATAGGTCCAGGCTGCACTTTTCCCCTGCTGGAGCCAGGAAGACTGGATGGCTTGGTCCCAAGATTTGTCCCCACAGCCCAACACACCGGCTGTGGCAGTCTGCAGCCAGAGTGCCTATTCAGGCCTAACCCTGACCTATCCTTTCTCAGTGGCCCCGGCTTCCCTGCAGGATCTCCAGATAATGCCAGCTAGAGGCTCAGAGACAGAATTCTGATCTCCCAAGGCCTGAGACCCTAGTAGGAGGGGTGGCCACAGTCTCTGTGGACCAGCAGACTTAGCCTCTCCTCCTGGTAGTTTTGAGAAATCCGGGCAGCCCAGAGGAGTGGGTTTTACCCAAGTGAATCATACCCTCTCCATCAAGGGACAAATGGATTCTGCTCCTCATGCCACCCAACTGGGTGAGACCCTCCAACAGGGGTTGTCAGATACCCTATACAGGAGCAATCCTACTGGCATCAGGTTGGTGCTCCTCAAGGTCAGAGGTCCCAGAAGAAGGAGCAGACACCCATCTTTGATGCTCTCTAGACTCCTTGAGTGACATTCTAGGCATGGGAGTGATTCAGATGAAAAGGGTCTGGAGTGAACCCCCAGAAAATAGAAAAAAAACTATTTTAAAATTCATATGAAATCAAAAAAGAAGCCAAATAGCAAAGGCAATCCTAGACAAAAAGAAGAAAGCTGGAGACATCAGGATACCTGACTTCATATTATGCTACGGGGGTACAGTAACCAAAACAGCATGGTACTGGTACAAGAACAGACACATAGACCAATGGAACAAAATAGAAAACCCAGAAATAAATCTGCACACCTACAGCCATCTGATCTTTGACAAACCTGACAAAAAACAAGCAATGGGGAGAGGATTCCCTATTTAGTAAATGGTGCTGGGAGAACTGGCTAGCCACATGCAGAAAACAGAAACCGGACCCTTTCCTTACACCATACATAAACATCAACTCAAGATGGATTAAACACTTAAATGTCAAATCAAAAACTATCCTACAGAATAGTGACCTGAGTATTGAAACAAAAAACAAGCAGAAAGTGACAACAGCATCAACAATAACAACAAAAAGGCCCCCACAAAACCCCATCCAAAGGTTAGCAGCCTGAAAGACCAAAACTAGATAAACTCCTGAAGATGAGAAAGAATCAGTGAAAAAAGTGCTGAAAACCCAAAAGGCCAGAGAGCCTCTTCTCCTGCAAATGATCACTATGTCTCTCCATCAAGGCCGCAGAACTGGACAGAGAATCAGATAGATGAATTGACAGAAGTAGGCTTCACAAGAAGGGTAATAAAAAACTACGATGAGCTAAAGGAGGATGTTCTAACCCAACGCAAAGAAGCTAAGAACCTTGATAAAAAGTTAGAGGAATTGCTAACTAGAATAACCAGTTTAGAGAGGAACTTAAAGGACCTGATGGAGTTGAAAAACACAACAAGAGAACTTCGTGAAGCATACACAAGTATTAACAGCCAAATCGACCACGCAGAAGAAAGGATATCAGTTTGAAGACCACCTTACTGAAATAAGACATACAGACAAGAATAGAGAAAAAAGAATAAAAAGGAATGAACAAAGCCTCCAGGAAATATGGGACTTCAAAAAAAGACTGAACCTATGATTGATTGGAGTACCAGAAGGAGACAGGGAGAATGGAAACAAGCTGGAAAACAGACTTCAGGATATTTTCCCGGAGAACTTCCCCAACCTAGCAAGACAGGCTATCATGCAAATTCAGGAAATACAGAAAACACCATTAAGATACTCCATGGGAAGATCAACTCCAAGACACATAATCTTTAGATTCCCCAAGGTCGAAATGAAGGAAAATCTCTTAAGGGCAGGCAGAGAGAAAGGCCAGGTAACCTACAAAGGGCAGCCCATCAGACTAACAGCAGACCTTTCAGCAGAAACTCTACAAGCCAGAAGAGATTGGGGGACAACATTCAACATTCTTAAAGAATATAATTTTCAACACTGATTTTGATATCCATCCAAACTAAGCTTCATAAGTGAAGGAGCAATAAAATCCTCTTCAGACAAGCAAATGCTGAGGGATTTCATTACCACCAGGCCTGCCCTGCAGAAGCTCCTGAAAGAAGCACTAAATATGGAAAGGAAAAACCAATACCAGCCAAAATAACAGAAACACACCAACACAAACAAAATAACAAAAACACACCAAAATAAAAGACCAATGACGTTACCAAAAACTGCAACTAGTGTGCAAAATAACCAAATAGCATCACGATGACAATCAAATTCACACATAAAAATACTAACCATACATGTAAATGGGCTAAATGCCCCAATTAAAAGACACAGACTGGCAAACTGGATGAGTCAGGACCCATGGGTGTGCTGTATTCAGGAGACTCATCTTACTTGCAAAGACACACACAGGCTCAAAATAAAGGGATGGAGGAAAATTTACCAAGCAAATGGATAGAAAAAAAAAAAGCAGGGGTTGCAATCCTAGTCTATAAAAAAACAGACTTTAAGCCAACAAAAATCTAAAAAGACAAAGAAGGGCATTACATATGGTAAAGGGAACAATTAAACAAGAATAGCTAACTATTCTAAATATATATGCACCCAATACAGCAGCACCCAAATTCGTAAAAGAAGTACTTAGAGACTGACAAAGAGACTTAGATTCTCATACAAGACTAGTGAGAGATTTTAACACTCTGCTTTCAGTATTACACAGATCAATGAGACAGAAAATTAACAAGGGTATTCAGAACTTGAATTCAGCTCTGGATGAAGTGGACCTAGTAGAGGTCTGCAAAACCCTCTACCTCAAATAAACAGAATATTCATTGTTCTCAGTGCTACATGGCACTTATTCTAAAATTGACCACATAATTGGAAGTAAAACACTCCTCAGCAAATGCAAAAGAACTCAAATCATAACAAACTGTCTCTCAGACCACAGTGCAATCAAATTAGAACTCAGGATTAAGAAACTCACTCAAAACCACACAATTTCATGGAAATTGAACAACCTGCCCCTAAATGACTCCTGGGGAAATAATGAAATTATGGCAGAAATCAAGAAGCTCTTTGAAACAAATGAGAACAAAGAGACAACACACCAGGATATCTGGGATACAGCTGAAAGAGTGTTAAGAGGGAAATTTATAGCATTAAATGCCCACATCAGAAAGCTAGAAAGATCTCAAATCGACATCCTCACATCACAATTAAAAGTGCTAGAGAAGCAAGTGCAAACTAATCCAAAAGCTAGCAGAGGACAAGAAATAACTAAGATCAGAGAACAATTTAAGGAGATAGGGACAAAAAAAAAAAAAAAAAAAAAAAAACCTTCAAAAAATCAGCGAATCCAGGAGCTGTTTTTTTTCTAAAAAATTAACAAAATAGATAGACAGCTAGCTAGACTAATAAAGTATAAGAGAGAGAAGAATCCAATAAACACAATAAAAAATGATAAAGGGGATATCACCACTGACCCCACAGAAATACAAACTACCATCAGAGAATACTATAAACACCTCTACACAAATCAACGAGAAAATCTAGAAGAAATGGATAAATTCCTGGACACATACACCCTACCAATACTAAACCAGGAAGTAGTTAAATCCCTGAACAGACCAATAACAAGCTCTGAAATTGAGGCAGTAATTAATAGCGTACCACCCCAAAAAAGGCCAGGACCAGACAGATTCACAGCTGAAATCTACCAGAAATACAAAGAAGAACTGGTACCATTCCTTCTGAAACTATTCCAAACAATTGAAAAAGAGGGACTCTTCCTTAGCTCATTTTATAAAGCCAGCATCATCCTGGTACAAAAACTGGGAAGAGCACAAGAAAAAAGAAAACTTCAGGCCAATATCCCTAATGAACATTAATGCGAAAAATCCTCAATAAAATACTGGTAAACAGAATCCAGCATTAGATCAAAAAACCTATCCACTATGATCAAGTCAGCTTCATCCCTGGGATGCAAGGCGTATACTTTCAATATACACAAATGAATAAACATAATCCATCAAATAAACAGAATCAAAGACAAAAACTACATGATTATCTCAATAGATGCAGAAAATGCCTTTGTTAAAATTCAACATTCCTTCATGTTAAAAACTCTCAACAAACTAGGTACTGATAGAACATACCTCAAAATAATAGCTATCTATGACAAACCCACAGCAAATATCATATTGAATGGGCTAAAGCTGAAAGCATTCCCTTTGAAAACCGGTACAAGACAAGGATGCCCTCTCTCACCAATCCTATTCAACATTGTATTGGAAGTTCTGGCCAGGGCAATCAGGCAAGAGAAGGAAATAAAGGATATTCAAATAGAAAGAGAGAAAGTCAAGTTGTCTCTGTTTGCAGATGACATGATTTTATATTTAGAAAAACCCCATCATCTCAGCCCCAAAATTCCTTAAACTGATAAGAAACTTCAGTAAAGTCTCAGGATACAAAATCAATGTGCAAAAATCACAAGCATTCCTCTTTTTAAAGTGGTAGCTAACAACAGAAAGCATGGCATATGTCAGTGAGTCAATAATAACCATTAAGCTTTGGAAAGATAGAACAATATGAAACACAAAACTATTATAAATAATATGTAAAATATTGAGTGATTTGGAATTCAATCAAATAACATTTATTAAGATAGATGTGAAGTATTTGAATAACTAGAATTAGGTGGATGTTAAGGCAACCTCACAGAATAAGTATGTGCCTTTTAAGCATCTTCTCAAGGTAATTTATTTTTTGAGAAAGTTTTGCATTGTGGAAGTATAAAAATATCTATAATCTTTCAAATCAGGAACTACTCACTTATTGAAAGCAAATCAACCTCAATTATTTTTCCTCTGTCTTTAATTACTTTGGGGATGGCTGAAGGTCATTAAAACACTCACATTTAAATCCCTAGTAAGCTTCCTAATTACCTCTGCTTTCTCAATTGTTGCAGTTTTAAAACATATTGTAGACACTTCAGTTTTACAATGCTGTCATAAAACAATGCGTCCACATCGAAAATGAAATAATGAGAGGGTAGATTTATTATGTTTCAGTTAAGCTAGGGATTTTTTTTTTAAGTTTCTTGAACCTATCACATAATTTCTAAATTGCTTTATACATAATTCCAGCCAATATGCCAGGGGACTATCTTGTATTTTAAGTTAAAATAATGCAAATGACAAGTTGAATGTTAAATGAGAGACTTCCAGTGGCCATAAGCATTTTGGACTTCCACTATAATTTATTCATACAATTGAGCAGCTGGAATCAGATATTTGAATTAATGCAAAGGCTATCATATTATGTGGTTCCAAATAGTATGACAGGCTATGATTTGTCTCAATAAATTGTTGGCAATTATGACTGACAAGCAGATTAGAATAAAGCCAGAAACAGAAATATCTAATAAACAAGAACTATTGCTAATGAATATGATTGTGTAGTTTTCAGGGCACCAGTGACCCAAGGACTAGAAGAAACAGACGGAGGAGCTTGGTGAGTATCAAGTTTATCATAAAAGCTGTCATTTTGTTATTGCAACCGGAGGCAGAAGCCAATTTTTTCAATGACAATATCTCTATGTAATATGAAATGTTGTATAATAAAAATAATAAATTGCTCTGTTGCCTTTGTATCACCAAGTCACTTAGCAAGAAATAAAACCAGAGAAGCCTAAGTAAAGAATAGAAGCCATATTGTTCCAAAGGTCAGCGCAGTCTCCTTCATTCTCTTTTAAAATTGCTCATATAAAAATAAATTTGATTTGTATTATAGTCATAAACTTTCTTTAAAGAAGAGATTAAAGCTATGCAGAAGCTGCTTGTTTGAGCGTATTCAATGCCTTTTAAAATATACAGATATTTTATTTCTTGATTAAATTCACATTTTCCATCAATATCTATGGTATTTTCTGCTTCTGGAGATGACTTTGAAAAGACCATTAAACTAAAAAAAAATCATTGCAGCACTTTTATTGCTACTTCTTTAATAACATTCTTTAGTACTATTAACCATTTACAGAAATAATTTTGAAACCTAAATATCATGCACTTCAATTTTCATAATAGAATATATTAAATTATATGAATACATGTCACATACACATCATATATTTGGCTTAGAAAAGATTAAAAATTCATTTCATTTGATTATTGGTAATACAAATGAGTATAAATAAATGATAAATATAATATCCTTGTGGCACTTATGATAGTTCCAAAATATTTTATGTTATTTAATGTCTACCTTCATTAGATTGTCAGTTGACAAGGGCAAAGCAGTGTGCCTTTGTTCACAATATATGCATCACATGACATTGTATATCAACCTGTTGTTAATATACCCTCAATTAAATTAAATTACTGAATTAAAAAGTAATTTATATTTGTTGACGCCTCATTATAAGTAAACAGACGACTGAGTTCTACCTCTTGGTTTTCAGACCATGAATTTCATTATGTGGACACAGCATTATAATATGGTTGTTAACTTGGAATGAGCAGAAATTATACAGGGTTGAATAATTGCTGAGAATCCACAAAGTATCCTCATACAGGCTTTAGTATCGGAAAAGGAAATGACACAGCATGAAAAAGAAAATACAGGGAAACATAGAAAGGTCAAAAAACTTCCAGACACAGCAACCTGGGTTTTTTGCAAAGAATGTACTTCACCTTCAGATTATGAACCAAGCAGTTATATTACTCTCAGGTAAGCTAAGGTATAAGTTTACTGAGGGTTTTTATACTCTTTGTTCTATGTAACATGTTTAAACAGGTGCAAACCACCATTCAGTACATTTTCAATAAACAATGCAAACAAGTTAGTACAGGGTGATGTAGTAGTCAGTTCTTATGCTACTAATAAAGACATACCTAAGACTGGGTAATTTATTAGAAAGTGAGGTTGAATGGACTCACAGTTCCACATGGCTGGGGAGGCCTCACAATCATGGTGGAAGACGAAGAGCAAAGGGATGTCCTACATGGCAGCAGGTAAGAGAGCTTTTGCAGGGGAACTCCCCTTTATAAAACCATCAGATCACTTGAGACTTATTTACTACTAGGAGAACACTATGGGAGAAACTGCCCCCATGATTCGATTATCTCCACCTGGCCGCACCCCATGTGTAATAATCCCACATGGAGATTATTACAGTTCAAGATGAGATTTGGGTGGGGTCACAGCCAAATCCTATCAGGTGACTTCAGGGGACTTTCAGATTTAAAACAGATCATTATAAATCACCAGTGGTTACATTTTATTCTTTTGGGGGCCAAGTATCAGTCCTATGGCTCTTGAAAGCCCTGGAAATAAGCATATTATCTACCACAGACCAGCTTTCTTATGCCAGGTGCATACTGCATCTGAAGAATAGCATCCCATGCTGCATGGTGTCATCTCCAAGTTCACACTTCACAAGACCCTTCCAAAGTCTGTTCCATTGCACTAATTGGCAGCTTCTGGGTGGTGTGCTATTTAATAGGATCATTTGGTTCCCTGGTCACAGGCACGTGTTGCACTTCATTTGTTATAAAATGAATGTTCACACCCTTGGCCCGAGATGATTTTATGTTGTACTCTAGTTCAATTAATCAAATACTCTGTAAATTCTCAAATAGTGCATCTACTTAACATCCTTGAAATTATTCTCAGATAAATTTGACTTCAGGTTTTGTTTCTTTTCAAAATCTATAGTCACATAGTTAGATAATCTTTTAATTTGCCCTACTGGTCATTAATCTTATTCATAATATATAGATCTTATTATTTAACACCTAGAGAAAAACTTTAGTTCCCTTATTTGTAAGGTTTATAAGATCTGAATACAATGTTCCTTAATGAGAGATGTTTTTTAGATTCATTTAGCAAGAAAAGATTCATGTGCCAATGTATTATCTACCTTTTGCAACATAAATCATTTAAATATATTTGTTGATTTCTTGAGCATTGAGAAGTAAGATATTGTAAGTTTTCATTTAATTCCTTTGACATTAAACATGGTCTGTGCCTGGACTATCTTTTTAAACTCTATCATATATCTCTCCACCTCACTTCTGAAGCTCTAGTCACACTGGAACCATCAAACTTGTAATATTCTATGGTCTTTGCACTTGCTGTTGTCTCTAGCTGGAACATTCTTCCTCCATGTATTGCCTAACTTGATGGGTCATTTAATCAGGTCTCTACTGGCATTATTAGAGCAAGCCTTCCTAAAAACCCTGTCTAAAATAATAGCATATTGCTGTCATTCCTCTCCCCTTTACTCTGCTTATCTTTTTTATTTACTTTTATGTTCAGGGAGGGTTCCATGACCAACTATTCATTCAGTGATTTGCTAAAAGGGTTCAGATTAGATGTATTTATTCACAGGATTATACTTATTACATTAAAAAAGAGATTACAGAGAAGGATCAACAATGGAAAATGAATCAGTTGGAGTCAGATTAGATGCAGGGTTCCAAAGTACTTTCCCATCAGGGGCTGCAAAAGACATGATAATTCTTCCAGCAGCAAACTGTAAGAACACATATAAAGTGCTTCTGCCCAGGGAACCCAGCTTTAGTGCAGAGTTCGTATTTTATACAGAAGGTTGCTCTCATAGCAGTTGGGATCATAATTTCTTTCTTTTTTTTTTTTTTTTTTTTTTTTTTTCTGAGACAGAGTCTTGCTCTGTCGCCCAGGCTGGAGTGCAATGACGTGATCTCAGCTCACTGCAACCTCCGCCTCCTGGGTTCAAGCAATTCACCTGCCTCATCCTCCAGGATAGCTGGGATTACAGGCTTGCACCACCACACCAAGCTAATTTTTTTATTTTTTATTTATTTATTTATTTTTAGTAGAGACGGGGTTTCACAATGTTGGCCAGGCTGGTCTTGAACTCCTGACCTTGTGATCTGCCCACCTCGGGCTCCCAAAGTGCTGGGATTATAGGCATTAGCCACCACGCCCAGACAGGATCATGATTTCAAAAGACAAAATCCTGAACATTGTAATCCCAAATGCTGAAATCCTGAGAGATTAAAATCCTCCTTTCCTAATGTCGAAAATTCTGAAAATCACAATTTTGAAATATTAAAATCTTGAATATTAAAATCCCGGAAGCCAAATTCTCGAGAAGGAACTAGTACACTTTTTGTCATATGCAGGATACATGCATCATTTTAGTTGCATCATGCTAGGTGGAAATATTATTTTATTATTATCTATATTTGCATTGGGCAGAAAATTCAGATGAGTGGGTTGGCACTCAGTACAGCAAGAATGAGAACTTCAGTTTAAAAATGCCTCATTTGTCTGCATTGACATTTCTTACAGTTGATGATATTCTAAAAGCTTTTAATGAAATAAAGCCACATTTGCCTGAAAGAAATGTGAATGAAATGTGAATGAAAGAAGTCAGGGAAGTTATTGACTGATTTGAAAATAATTATGCACATGGTTAAGTTAAGAAGATACTTACACAATGTTATTGCTATTCAATCACCAGTATTTTTTCTGCCAGATTTGTGTCTGTATATGAGTGCATGTGGAAGGGGTTTCTGCATATCCAAAACAACATAGAAGCATGGCACAGAAGATGAGAAAATTTAATAGGGAATGTTCATGTCAGTGTATACTGAATCATAGAAGAATTTCATAAAGAGTCGAACCATGTAGAAAATAAATGTGAATGTATTTTTCCTAGGAAAGCCAGCCTCGTGGTCCCTCTAAAACAAAGCACTTATTCATTGCAATGCAAGACTTCAAAATATAGTTATTAATCATGCAAAGTTGGCGAGTTCTTATGGAGTACCTCCATGCAATTGCCCATAAACTATTTCTGTAATATACTTTTACATGTCAAATTTACTTTTTAGATTTTTTTTGGTTGTGTGCTTTTTTGTTTGTTTGTTTGTTTCACTATTTAAAGTGTCAGCATTATTTTTTACAATTTGCTATGCTATGAATTTCCTCTTCATATCATTTCCAACACTGGAGGTATAAATTATATAAAGACTTTTACAGAATTCTAATTCAGTTTATGCATATTCTTGTACATTTGATTCCACCAAATGTATTATCACAACATTAACTTCGCGTATAGGCATTGTGCATGTATACGTTCAAACTTCTTCAGTAAATGATGTTCTTTTTGGGCATTGGCACTTGTGGAAGATAAAATTTTTTGAGCTCTCAGCTCTTTGAGCAACTGCAGTAGTGATCCATTATGTGTTTTGATCCATCCTGTCAAAGACTTAGATTGTTCCACATATTTCAGATGACCACACCTACAAAGCTATGTGCACACAATTACCAACCACAGTGATAAGCATTTACACATTTTACTTTTTGATTTCTTTCTTTATGACTACATGACTGCTATACCCATGCAACTATTGTTAGTATACCTAGTGTTTATGCTTGCAAAAATATGTATGTTATTATTGCCTATTTTATGGTATAAAGTAACAAAGTGTTCTGTAGTATTTCTATGTATTTCTCAAATACTGTTTTAAAAGGCAAATAAATGCCTTTAAATTTTCAAAATAATTTTCCAGGTTTATATCTTTGAGATTTTAAACTAGGAATTTTGATCTTTTGGGATTTCAACATTTGGGATTATGGCATTGAGGACTGTGTCTTTAAGGATTACGGCCCAAATCCCTCACACAGGAACATACTGTCTGTGTGAAAGCCATCATTACTGAAACTCCAGACCTAGAAGGAAAGCAGGTGTCCACAATATACCATATTTCCACAAATTAGCTAGACAAGTTGGTACAGTATGCTTAAGTGCCACAAACATAAAATAACCTTAACAATTAGTAACACAGGGGAGTTTTCAGAGGAGAAATTTTCAGGGCCAGCTATACAAGCAAGCCCTTCCAAAGATAGAAAAGAGATGAGCTGCATCAGGTAAGCTAAATTGTTTCCTGCACACTTTATCATCATTTGACCTATTGCATCTGTATTAGTTTTATTCTACCTTTCCCACTAGACTGTGGGACTGAGCATATCTCTTATGATTAGTTTAGTGACTGGTATAGAGTAGTCATTTCTCAACATTTGTTAAATGCAAAAACAAATGACCACTTATTGACCTATGCCTGGTAGGGCTAGAATATGTAACAGTGAAAGACAGAAAAAGGAAAAAGGGCTGCAAAAGAAGAGTGTGCTGGTACTAATGTTTTATAGGTATTAAGAATAAGGTATGAATAGTTGTTCCTCATTCTGTTCCTTATTCTGTTCCAAAAAATAGAATAAAAATATAATGCCAGAAAGTAACTTTAAAAGGGTGGATAACGATAGTGAAATACTAGAATATTTAAGGTGATTATAAGAAAAAAGGGAACAGCTGTTCAGTATCGTGTTTCTTTTGTTGTTGTTTTGTTTTTTACAGAGTCTCACTCTGTCCCCCGGGCTGGAGTGCAATGGTGCGATCTCTGCTCACCGCAACCTCTGCCTCCCGGGTTCAAGCGATTCTCCTGCCTCAGCCTCCTGACTAGCTGGGATTACAAGCGTGCACCACCACGCCCGGCTGATTTTTTGTGCTTTTAGTAGAGACGGGGGGTTTTGCCACCTTGCCCAGACTGGTGTCGAACTCCTGAGCTCACCTCGGCCTCCCAAAGTGCTAGGATTACAGGCGTGAGCCACTGCGCCAGGCCTCACCATAGTTTTTGAAAAAGAAAAATAGGCTTTAATCGTGAGCTAAATTCATATATGAGGTAAGAAAGACAGACATGTCAGGCAGGTAAAGTACTGTGAAAGGTTTTGAAATCTTCACAGAAACTATCACAAAAAGAAAATATCACTCTTTATCCTGAGTTATTTAGCTCTGATTTTACAATTTGATGAAGCGGACTAACACAGACTTTTTGTTTTTTTTTTTTTTTTTTTTTTTGAGACGTAGTCTCGCTCTGTCGCCCAGGCTGGAGTGCAGTGGCGCGATCTCGGCTCACTGCAACCTCCGCCTCCCGGGTTCAAGCGATTCCCCGGCCTGAGCCCCCCGAGTAGCTGCAACTACTAGTAGCTGGAACTACTAGAGGCGTGTGGCACCACGCCCGGTTAATTTTTGTGTTTTTAGTAGAGACGGGTTTTCACCATGTTAGTCAGGCTACTCTCAAACTCCTGACCTAGTGATCCGTTCGCCTCTGCCTCCCAAAGTGCTGGGATTACAGGCATAAGTTACCGCGCCCGGCCAGAGACTTTCCAAGGCCGCTTTGGAACATAGGACTTTCACTAAAACATTTTCATCCTATCTTCCAATAGTAGCTGCACATTTGATAACTTATTATTTAAAGATGTATGAGGCATTACAAAGCATAAAATGCTTATTTTCTCATAATTTGAAATAATAAACGATTACATTTTTTCCATAAATATTTATTTGCTGTTCCAAACTCCAATGCTAATTTTACTTTTCTGAAATGAAATTATGATGTCTTTGCTGATCTTGAGTTTAAGGATGTGATCAATAGTGAAGGGAAAAAAAACCCAATGATGTAAAATAAAGATGGAATAAATAAGGACTACATGTATATCCAGAAAATTAACATGATTTAAAAAACGCTAAATTCCCAGTGATCGAAGATAATAAATAGTTTTTATATTTATTATAGTTGAAAAATATGATACACAATATCATATGAACAATTTGCATGGGCTCAATGAGCATTTATTGATATTACTTATCTATATTTAATCTACAGAAATTATTTCAATGAAAGTTTACCAAGAGCTATTTGAAATAACCCATGCTTAAGTAAAATAACAAAAAAGCAGCAGCTTTTAAAACACCTTCAGAGTATAGAGATTTTGTTATCCACCTGTATAAATTCTTCCAAAAGTTATTAAAAACAAAACAAAAACTCCATAAACCTTTGACAATAGCATGCATTAGAGATGATGAAAAGGAAAATCCTTGAGCTGTTTTGAAGACATCTCTAACCTCTAAACACAATGAAGCAGAAAAATGAACTTTCAGCCGTTCCTTGGATAAAATAAATGATCAATGGTAAGCAATAATTCAAATAAAATACCTTAGTAAGAAAGTAAAGAATGCAAGTCTCTTGTAGCCCTCAAACATTTACTCCTCTCTACTCTTTATTCATAATACCTCCTGTTTTACTCTCTTTGGTCACAGACACAATTTAAACTATTTTCCTTCAAAAGCAGTTCAGAGTCTAGGAAGATACAAATAATAAATACAGATTCATTAAATTAACAAAATGAAAGCTTCTCTTTATCCTGTCCAGAGTTTTATACTTTAGAAGACAGTGGGGATTAGAGTCAGTGGTGTGTATTTTATTGGTTCAGGCTGTCTCTTAAGTATTAGTCTGATTGAAAGTGTTGATTTGAAAACACACAGGAAAGTTTAATACATGTTTTATCGTGCCCTGATCATGAACCCTTGTGTGACAGGAGGACCAGGCCTGGTCAGTTTGGGGATAAAATATGGACAAGAAAAATAATTAGACTTATTAAACAAAACCATTATATGTTAGCACATGCTTCTGGACAGAGGTCATTGTTCTAGGAAAGAAGCTGTTTTAACAGATGACATGGAATAGCCAAATATGCTCGTGATCATTGAAAGCATTATCAGGCTTCTCATTAGAATAAAGCTTTGCCTCCTGGCCTAATACTAATGAGCGTAATTAAATTCTGCATACCTAAAATCCCTCTCTGATTCAGCTTGGGGAAGTTATTTTCTTTTTGTATTGCTGTTCTAGGCTCTGAAACTCTGTCATTCAACCTAGAGATAATTGCGTTTCATTGGTGAGCAAAGTATTATTCTTCATGTATTACCTAGTAAAATATTTTCATATGATAATTTTATCATAAATTTGCATCGTTAATATGGATATTTGATTCTATTTCCTGGAATAATCTAATTGAAAACATTACATATTTACTGCATGTTGAGGAAGCAAAAATCAATTGAAGTAGCAAAAATGGTAAATATTTTATAACTGTCATATATATTTGATATAACTAAAAAATTTATATGAAGAACCATATAAATTATTTTGTGGTAAATAAATCATTTCCCTAAGATTTTAATATATTAATCCATTTTATGACATTTTTTTTTCTGTAGGACCGTTAATCAGATTCTCATCTGTCAAATATCACTGGTGTAGCATCCAGTTGTCAACAGTCTGTATCCATGTTTTCTTCCTTTATTCAAATCAAGATTGATTTTAAAAGAGAAACAAGTTTCTTCTTCCAGCAGTCCTCCATCTCATTTCTATTTAAACCGGCAACTATCATTCTCAGCAAAGTTAAGGCAAATGAGCAGGGAGAATGGTCTGGAAAGGTGGTTTCTTTGTAGCTGCATAAAGAAGTTCCTATTATTTTAGTTACTTGTCTGCCATTCAGCCTCATATTACCATATACCAATATGTAGTTATGATGCTTTCCTGCCTAAAATCCTTGGTCTTATTGGGAATGGAGCTTATGTCTGTAAACATTCTAGAGTTGCTCAATTAAATGACCAGATGTTTCTCATTAGGATGATTGGCAGGTGCATGCTGAAGCTTTGGTGGGAATAGTTGTGACTGGAAAGGCCAGCTACCCAAACAACAGTGCAAGTTCTCCTGTATTCCCCACTGTTACTTAACAAACCCAAGAGGTGCAATGGATGGGGCTACTGATATACCAGCCTCCTGCTGGAAAAAAATACTGAGTATCCAGGTATAAACTATCAAAAATGACATAAAGTTTTGGTTACTTATATAAACATAATTAAATGGAAGCTTTGTGATTACACTTGCTCTTCTTCCTGAGAGTATTACCCCCGTGCTATGGCGAGTGTGATAAAGTCACCATGGCATGAAATTGCACTACGTTCTTAATTCCACCAATGTATGTGTTGTCTAGTTTCAATTCCATTTTGCTTTGAATTTCAGTTCCATCTAAATCATAGGTTAAAGGGAACATTCAAAGCAGTTTTATTATATTCCTAAGTTTCCAACAAGGTTAATGAAGTCCAACACTTCAGTTGAATCTAAAAATGAAGGAAAAAGGGATGATTATTGTAGCTTCATTTTCAAATTGCTACATAGAGCCAGACAAAATCATTATAATATTGATGTCCTATGAATACACACATTATAATTATGTGAAATTCTTTCTTTTTTAGAAAATCATTGTATTTTTTATTTAATGGTGGCTTTCAGGGGCAAAGCAGTCCAAAATGTAAAATGTCTTACAGAATAAGATACATGTTCTTAAAAAAATTATTCAGAATAGCAAATAATTGTCCTCTGCTACTTTTATTCAAATGAAATATATAATGGAGTCTCTGAGGATATCTACTTTTTCTACATATTAGGTAAAAATAAATTTGTACTTAATGTAACTGATTTTTTAAAGAAAGAAAGTTTATGTACAAAGAGCTAGTATTTTACCATATGAGTTGGAAATAAGTGAGTGGCTTATACTCAAGCTTCACTAACTCTTTATGGACAACTTTATAAACAATAGGATTTAGAAGGGTATTCATTAAAACTATTGACCACATTCAAAACCCTTATGTTGGATTTATGCAGTGTAAATGAGGAGCAAATGGGATAAACCCTTTCACGTGCACTAGCTATCAGCTGAGTGAGGATTCTTAATATTATTTCATCAGCAAGATACGAACGGATGCTTTCTTTCAATCATCAGTTCTGTTCTTGCTCAACTAGAGATTCATAGGACACTAGAACTTACATTATAATTCTCTGACAACTGTTACAAATGAGCTAGAATTTGAAACCACAATGATAAAGTTTTTAAAAGTTCTAACCAAGATGATGCCCAAATGAGCAAATACCCCATTTCATTCTCACTGGTAGGAAGTAGTAGAATGAGACAGGAATCCAAAAGGCCAACCATATCATTGCTGTCTGCTTTTTGAAAACTATACTTAGTTTTTGAGTAGTTTTCAATGCTCTCTAAGTTTTTAACTTTGGTGATTTATCAGATAAAACATTGGTGGACCAGTTTTGTGCATGTACCTTGGTAGATAGATTCTTCTTTTGGCTAAAATGTATTACCATGTTATTTTTCTAAAAGTGAGTTTAATATGTTTGAAAATATTTATAAATGATACAATATAATGTTTGCAATTAGCTTCTAAATACTACAGGATAGGAGGAGTGAATGGTGTGTGGATAGGTCACAGCTAACCATAGCTGTCCATAGGGCACAAGGAAGCTCCTCACACTATTCTGTTCACTTTTATATGTGTTCGAAATTCTCCATAATAAACATTTTTTAAAAAACAATCTTCCTTAGTGGTCGCAAACGTGGTCTTCATACTAGATCCAATCAACCAACATGTGATCCAAACAACACTTGGAAACTGGGAGAGTTAAGATAATAATCTGAGCGTCTAGATTTTCTTGGAAAATAGGAAGATGTGGCACTATTGAGACAGCATTCCTTTGTAGTAAACACTTGGTTAGTGCAGAGTAGCAGGTGCTTCCTGTAAGACACAACGTGAATTTGTTGCAGCCTGTCAGCACCCTAATGTGTTATGTCTTGCTGACTTCATTTATTTTCTTTACCATCCTGGCTTTTGTGGCCATTGGAAATGCTTAAGTTAGGGAAAGGTATTCCCCTTTTTATTGAAAAATTCTGCTACTAAGAACCATCTAGTTATTTACTATAAAGAACATGGGTTCGATGTTGCCATCTTCTGATTTTTTAAGAAAATCTGGAAATTCAGATTATATGAAATTTCCCAGTTTACAAATACTGTCTGGGTCAAATATTCATCACAAAATAGACCAATAAATCAGAATGTTTTCTAACATTCCTATAGGTGCTTCTAAACCAATTTGATTGTCCCATCTCTCACAAAAGGGTTGAAAGATAAATACACTAGAGAATATCAAAAAGATATTTTTAGTTCTGAAATACTATAGAGAACCACCTTCCTCCTTACCATTTAAGATTTATACTTATGTCATGTGAGCTTTTATATCAGTTATTTACTCATTCAGGATTTGTGATAATTGAAGTGTTTTATTCCTAAGAGAAAATGTTAAATTTGCTATGCTCCAGTCAAAATCGAATCAGCTACTCTGATTACAGTGATATAATCACATACATATACATGTAATGTGCACACACCTTATTGCATATTAAAGTATATCTTCCATTTTAAGAAATTGTAAGTCAAGCATATAAAAGTGAAAGGAGAAGAAATAAATACATCAGTGTTGTAGTGAACAGAAGTAAAGGAAGAAAAATGAATTATGATGTTATTGTATATCATTCATGTTTAAGAGAACTTTTTGTAACATGAATATTCAATTTACAAAGCCTTGTTATAAATCCGCCATCATCAGTGAGAGATTTATCTTGGTTGCCTGTATACTATCATAACTCCTTTCTTTATGGGTAGAAAACCATAGAGTAAATTGCTAAACTCACCAGAAATCTGTATTTTACCTTCCAAGAAAAGACCAATTGATTGAAAACTAATAAACTTTCTAATATTCAATTATTCCACATAGAAAAACTTTAATAAGCCTTTATTAAGATAGATATTTAGATGCAGTTATAGGAGATAAAATGATGTTATGTCAGGTTAACAATTCGTTATAGTTCAGAGCAAAATATATTTTTGGAGGGGCCAAGATAAACATAATGTTTTCTAAAATTTGGTGGTGAAGGTTTTCAACCTATCCTATATGAGGACCTTTTACCACTGAGAAGGTCTATACCATACCGGGAATTTTAATGCAAACACTGATCTTCAATGCATGTAAATCGCATTTGGATTGGGTGTAATAACAGTGTATTTTAAGTATTTCCTTCTGGCCTTTAGGGTTCAGGGAAACCCATTAGTAATATCTTGATTAAGAGGAAAGTGAAAGAGCTAAAGGTCAGGTTTCTTTGTATTCATTCAGAGAAACGAATAAAATGCCAACCATGAAAACACCCACTCCCAGTCTACATAGTACAAATGGCATTTATAGAGAGATATGTAACCCTTCATGAATGATATCTGTATCCCTGAACAGATTATTTAAAAAATACCATTCATTTCATATTAGCTAGTCTTCTTTTCTAGACCACTAAGGAAAATATTAAAAATGGACTGAGACTGAAATGTAAGTGATGGTCTTATTGTCTTGGAATTAGGTTACTTATGTATGTGTGCTAAGAATACCTTTGCCTCTGCTGAAATACAGGGATTGGAAAGAGACAAATGGAAATGTACCTTCCATGGTTTAATTAGTAAAATATGAATTATGGCATTGTAATATAGCCAAGATTATGGTCACTTGCTCTTTTGGGTAGTAAGTTCACCATTTCCTTAGCAAGAGGTATACAGATCTGTTAAGTGTATTTCGTAAGAGCACCTGGAAAGCAATTAACCATTCAGTATGATGTAGTTTTGTCTTATTTATTTATTTTTTCTTCTTTGGAAAAACTACAACAACAACAAATAAAATAAATGGTAATTAGGTTTTCTTTCCCCTAATTTCAGGACTCAAATTTTCCTTTCTCCTCTACGCAGTAGTAAAAACAGGCAGAAAAGGGGGCCAAAGAAACTTCCAATATGTAAAAAGAATTTTGGCACTTTTTAATGGCTGGGAGATGTGGACAGTTATGAAGAACCAAAGGAGAAAAGAAAGGATAGCCAGAGGAATAGAGAGCAGGAGAGCAGGAGAGCATGAGACAGATTCTCCTATTAGCTTTGATCACAAAGGTCAAAGGTTGGGTACAAAGGAATGAATTGCCTAAGTCAGAGGTTCAAAGCTGGATTTTGTTTTCTCAAAATTCCATTCCATGAAGAAATATTAAATATTAAAATAACAAAGTCATAGTAAATATACCTCCCCAGGGAACTATTTAATAACATTACTCCCCAAACCATCAATTTCTGTCCTGGGCATATAAACTGTTAGTTTTTCCTTTGTGTAATAGCTCCTTAGTATTTCCTTATAGGTTGTAGCACTTTATCTTCCTCAGTGTTCCTTTCCCTTGGTCATCTTTTTCCAAAAATCTCTTGGATTCCATGAAGAATGGAATTTCAAGAAAAAAAAAATCCAGCTTTGAACCTTTGACTTAAACAATCCTTTGCTCATGCCAACTCTCACACTTTGCAGGCACGATTTTTATCATCAGAATCATTAAGTAACATGCTGCTACTTGTGTTTTGCTAACAAATTTTTATGTGTTTTATCAGTAGAGAGAGGGGCATAGTGTTTCCAGGCCTGAGCCAATGGCAGTTACTTAAAACATTCCCAGTGGGTATCTGAAGCATGAGATGCATTCATGGTTGCCAACTTAACTAGAAACACAGCAAGTTTAATTTTCCTGACTTTCTCTCCTCCATCCTTAGAAAAGAGCAGCAGACAACTACAGTGGGCTGAAGTTACACAGTTTATTGTCCTCATACATTTTCTGTTATTTTATTTCATTTATAATTTTGCCCAAAGTAATAGTTACATAATTGTTTGATTCCCATCTCTCAAGGAAGATATTTTGAAGGGATACTGTTTTTCTAAACGCAAAACTGATAATATCCTTGACAGTAACTTTGCTGGACACTCACAAGCACTGGACTTCAGCCGCCACTTTTGTCATAGTTAAAATGAACCAGGAAGTTCATTGTGTCACTGAGTATCTGTGGACTGAGTGGGTTTGGCTATGGTTATCTAGATCATCACATCTTCTCTCAACCTTAACATGTTTCATCTACTATTATGTTTCATTAATCAGAATATCTTTTGATGACCCTGAAAAACTTTTTTTCTCCACCTTTGTCCCTTAAACTTCCCACTTTACTGGCCCATGCATTAGCTCTTTACAGCTTTCTAACCCCTGTGCCTAAGAACCCAAAAGATCCACTTCTGTTAACAAATTCTTCCTTACCACACTCTCCACATTTCTTATAATTAAAAAGTTCTTTCAAATTAAAGTGCGGGGCCCATAATTGCCATACAGCCTCATATTCTTAGAATCAGCCCCACAGATCTGAGAAAAATGAGAGTCTAGGGTATGTTTTTAATTCAAATAAAAAATGCAAATGTATTTCTTGATTGATAGAAGGTACTGGATCAGATAGTAAGGAAAATGCCTAGAAACACAACTTGTCTACAGATAAGATATAAAGCAAATTTTCTTTAGTTTATTTTTATACTTCTTGACCATTTTTAACATTGCTTCCGTTTTCCAGACATTTCTGTTTGTGCATCTTATTGGGTGAGGTCAGCGTCATCAAGATAGAATGACTGTTAACTTCATGCTCCCCTGAGAGCTTATGTATAGACTAGAAACTGCTTAAAAGCAAGGCCAGTGGCTTCCTGTTTGTATTTTCATCACCCAGTGCAATGCCAAGTATATGTCAAGCATTAAATATAAGTTGACTTGGTGGCTTTAGGAATAAATGAATGGAAGATTTGTAAGACATGAATTGTCAGGTGTTTTTAAGACTGGTGACTGAGATTACAAAGGTTAAGACATTTGTCAAAACATGGATAAACAGTGATTATCCAAGTCCTCATATTTTAGTAATTCACTTTTAGGATAAATATAATATTATATGCTTTGTATCAAAGACGTCTTTCAAAAAAACAAAAAAACACTCACTTTTATTCCCATGTCCTCTGATAAGCTCTTGAGAAAAAGAAAGAACAGGAATTTGAGCTAGCGAAGAATTCCCAGTAGCGTGTTGCAAATGGTCATGTTCTGTTCTGAGGTATCTCACTGAAAACACTGAGAATTTCTGCCTAGGGAATGGGCTTTTAGAATGAAAAATTCATACACTCCTACATCAAGTGACAGAGTAGTGACTCAGAGAGGCAGCTGACAGCAGGAGAGGGGAAGAAAGAAGAGAGAAGTCCCCAACAGTGGGTACTAGAAATATTGCTGCATCTCACTTTTCAATATCATTAGCTGAAACCCTTCCTGTCTCTCCTGTGAAATATTCAGAACAGTTAGTGATACCATTATGAAGGGTATAAAATTCTCCTGTTGATGAGCCACATTTTACTCTTATTTTCAGGGTAAATTTCAAGACAGTAATGATACAGTTAGCTCATTTAACTCCAATTCTCTTGCTCCTGCTCTACTACCATTAGCTTAATTAGCCAGTGTTGAATTCTGGTTGAATGGTTGAATTCTCGTCTCCCACAAAGATGTGGTGAAGTCCTACTCTTAGTACGTGGAATGTGAATAATTTGGAAATAGTGTCTTTATAGAAATAATCAGGTTTAAATGAAGCCAGTAGGGTGGACCCTAGTCCAATATGACTAGTGTCCTTATAAAAAGGGGAAATTTGTAAACAGATACATGTAAACACACAGAGCTGGCAGAGGATGTGAAGAGACACAGGGAGAAAATGGCCATGTGACTGGAGTCATGGATTCACAAGCCAAGGATTGTTAGCAAACATCAGAAGATAGAAGAGGTAAGAAATGATGCTCAGAGAGACAGCATGGCCCTGCCAACACCTTGATTTTGGAATTCTAAGTTCCAAAACCTCGAGACAATAAATTTCTGTTATTTTAAGCCATCCAGTTTTTGATACTTTGTCAAGGCCAGCCTGGGAATGTAATATACTCCTTCCAGTATCACCTTAAATGCTACTTTCTCTATCAAATCTTTCCTGATAACATTTTCTTCAATAACAGGCTTACATTGTCCTTTAGGGCACTGTGCTTATATGTGCTGCAAAGGCAATCAATATATATGAATTGACTTAATTATTGAGTCAATATATATAGTGACTTAATTATTTTAAATAAAGAATAATTGGTTAATTCTTGAAGAGGCTGGAAATCCTTATAGAAAACACTTCTGTCTTAGCATTTATCCCTATCAACCATTTCCAAAAAGTTAAGGACTATGTAGTACATGAAATGAAATGTGCACTTTCATTACATTAAACTGTCATTTTAATAGTTACTTCTTATCATCTATCATTTAACTAAATAGAGAGGTAATTATATCGCTATCACTTATCATTAAACCTAGTATTAGGTGGAGGAGTTTGTTTTGAGAGGAGGAAGAGGCTACAAAGTTTACCTTAAAATATTTCAGAAAAATGAATGAGAAAAAGTGGCAAAGATGTTGTCTGAAAGGGAGAGGATTAGGAAAAATAACTAATGGGTACTATGCTTAATATCTGGGTGATTAAATCATCTGTATAACAAGCCCGATGACACAAGTTTACCTAAGCAACAAACCTTCAAATATACCTCTGAACTGAAGATAAAAGTCAAAAAATAAAAATAAATGAAGATCTGATTGATGTATAACATATCAAGTGGATTTCTGGAAATAAGAAATAGTATCATCCTATAAAACTATATCAGCACTTGCATTTTCTGAGGGCTGTCCCCATTTTCCTTACTAGTGATTAAGGAACAGAGTGCTTAGGAGATTTACTCAGGGGACAAATCAATGGGGTTTTCAGAGCTGGGACATGAGTCCTTTGAATTGAAAGCACTTTTGTTTTTTATTTCAATATATTTCCTCTTCTATGCACTATTAACATGCAACAATCTTGTATCTTCAACCCTCTACTACATGAAGCAAACCAGTTATCTCATTTAGAAGAAGTCAGAAAACAAGTTTCTTTTTGAGAGACTCAAAAGTAGCTATTAATTCTCAGTCTGTCTTGACTATGCCTTCTTCCCTTCATCCCTGGCTGCCACTATAGTCCAAGATACCAATATTTCTTTTATTTCCTGTATTAAACTTCTGCCTGGTCTGCCTTCTCCCACTTTTCTCCCCAGCACACACACTCTCTACCCCAATCCTACTGAGTTTTTACATAGCAGCCAGTGTTCTTTCCAAAATTCAGATCTGATCATGTGAATCTCTTTCTTGAGACCTTCCCATTCTTTTTAAAATAATAATCAAAATCCTTCACCTGACTTCAAAGCCTCAGTGAGTCCCACCTCTACTCTCATACATACTCTGAATTTACCTTACAAAGATCTCTATCAACCCAGTCACAGGGTCTCTTGATTTCTCAAAGTGGTGTGCTCAGTCTTGCTGCTTCAGTCTAGATGAATTCCCCTTATCCAAAATGCTTTTTAAAAATCACCTATCTGCTTCTTGTATCTTCTTCACTTAGTTAGCTTCTATTTATTTTTGTGTGGTCCCATGTTAAATGTCATTTCTCATAGAAGCATTTCTTGCTCCTTGAAAACTGAGGCCAGTTCCCTTATATTTTCTTTTATAGCACTTATCACTCCCTATCATTATTACATGTTTATTGATATAATCTTTTAACATCTGTCACCACTGTAAGACTGTCATCTCTCTGAGGGTAAATAAACTCCAGGGCTGCTTTTGTTCACTGGTACTCCCCTAGTACCTTGCAGGTGCCAGAATGGATAAGTATATATTGAATCAACAAATTAAAAGAAAAATGATATGAATTAATTGGTGGTTTTCATATGAGCATTATTACAAGCCACTGTTTCTGAAGGCCTTCCAGTCTTATGATCATGCATTAGAATTGCCAGATATCTGTGTTAAAATGCACATTACCAGTCCTTGTCCCTGGTTAACCTACTAACTCAAATTTTCTGGGCACAGGGCCCTACATCAAAAAGGTAATTCTAATGTACTGCTTAGTGTGTGGACTCACTCAACTAAACAAATATTTCCAGGATGCACAATATGTGAAACTTCAGAAACTTTAAATTCAATCTCTTTGCAAAAAAGCAACTTAGTATAAAATTATCCAAGTATCTTCTATTAAATCTAAGAGATTCATTACCAGGCTAGGTTTATATGATATAAAAATGAATAAGGTTTGACTGCTATCCTAGGAGGAGATCACAAACCAGTAAATTACATGAACTTATAATCAGGCAAATTATGATACACTGAAATATATTTTCTTGCCCAGAGATATGACCTTTACTCCTGATTAGAAAGGATGGAGTAAAATCTTTGAGGTGTTAGGACCCCAACATGAATTGAATTTTAATAGATGAATAAGGATAGTCAAGGAGATTTCCAGGAAGATAAAGTAGTTCTAAGTTATGGAATTATGAAGGGAATGACTGCCTCAGGAACTAGAGATAAGAAATAATTTGTAAAGGACATTGTAAGACAAATCAAATAATTTGGATATGAAAGTTTTAACTAATAAAGTAACAACTACATAGACAAAGACGCCACCTTTGAGGACTTTGTGATGAACAAGTAGGTCTCTTAGCTGATTGCAGAACCTTAGTTATTTTTTCTGCCTACTCAAAGAAAAATTACCATTGAAATTGAAAAATAGTATGTTTGTCAACAAGCATATTTTTATTACTCTGTATAGGAATTGGAAACCTTGTGTCTTCTAAATTTTCTATGTGAGTCCAGGCACGTTGGCTCACTCCTGTAATTCCAGCACTTTGGGAGGTCAGGCAGGAGAATCACTTGAGCCAAGGAGCTTGAAACCCACCTGGGCAGCATGGCAAAACCCCGTCTCAAAAAAAAAAAAAAAATTAGCTGGCTGTGGTGGTGTGCACCTGTAGTCCCAGCTACGTGAGAGGCTGAGGTGGGAGAACTGCTTAAGCTCAGAAGTTTGAGGCTGCAATGAGTTACGATTGTACCACTGCACTCCAGCCTGGGTGACAGAGTGAGACTCTAGCTCCAAAATAATAATAATAATAATTATTATCTCTAAGTAAAATATCATGTTATGTTAGAGTTATATATTTAAAGACTTCTATACAAAAGCATGCTTTGTAGTCTTCAAAGTTATATTTTGTTTTATGTGGACTGCCATGTAGCTACAGAAAATGCACATTTGATAATCATTGGCCAAGAAATGTATTACAATTGTTAACTAAAAAAATTGTTAACTAAAATATTGTTAACTAAAAAATTGTTAACTTAAACACAGAATGGGCAACCTGTAACTTAATAGTTCTCAACCCTAGTTACACTCGAAAACACTTAGAAAGCTTGTAAATTAATTGATAGTAGGGACTCAGTATATGTTTAGTGTGTTAATCTGGAATTTCCTTTTTAGTTTAAGTGACTAACAATAAACAGTAAAATCTGTACTAACTATAATAATCTGCTAACCTTGGGAAGAAATACAGATATCTATATTATAAAGAAAATCTACACTAATATTTTCTAAAAACTAAGGTTTCTGTAAAAGCACACTTTTTGTTTTACATTCTTAGCCAGCCTTCTTTTGGGGAGAAATATTTGTGATTATTTCAAGGATTGCAAAGAAAATTATTTGTACAGCATATTTTTCAATGTCTCAGCTCTTGTCAAATTAAACTAATTGTTGGATTAACCTCCAACATTGTTGTTTCTCTCTATATTTTTATGTACAAATGCCAGCCTTTAGTATTACAATGAAAAAATTTAAATGAGTACAGACTGAAGTAATTCATTCTGTGAGAACCACTGTGAGGTTCAAGCTTGCCACAAGTTACTGGGCTAGTGGTTCTCCCTTGATGTGATATGTGACCTGATTACTGTGTGCTGGGTTAATAGTCACCCCTGAAAAACAGAATGTAGAGAAGATTTCCTACTTCAGCTGACCTGTCTTCTAAAAGCTATTATGATTTACATTTCATCTTCTGAGCTCTCATACTCTCCAAAATTGCAAGCAGTTTTCCTATTTCCAACAGTACTTGGGCATTTTAATTAGAGTAACAGTTCTAACAGCACATGCATATTTGCTGGTGTAGAAAGTGTGGACCTTGCCAGAAAAAGTATTTAAATTATAAGTGGTAATAAATAGTTGTATATCTTTATACATTTTGGCTCTTAATTTTCTTCTTCTGCCTAATGGGAATAATTTTTGCTTTATTTAATTCTGAGTTACAGTAAGAATACAGGACTCTATTTGTATACAATAATGGGAAATAAGATGGTACCGTCAGTCTCAATTCACTTGGCATTCACTCATTCAGTAAATTTATTCTGAAGATGTACCATCTGAGTATATTGTGATGATTAAAATTGAGGCCTTGAAGTCAAATCTTGCTACCCGTTCCCAGTTGTACGATCTTTTGAAATCAATTTTCTCTCTACCTTGCAACTTTTCTTACCAGAAAAGTGGAAGGAATTAATAACCTTAATAAATTTTGGGGAAAATTTAATGGGACAACATGCATTAAACACTGAAATTGATATCTGACAGTGGGTAGGAATTCAGTGATGGCAGCATGCAAGGGGTGTGCAGGAGTGTTTGAATAGCAGGCCTGAGCTTTAGAAGGGAGGAGAAAATAAAGTCCCTGGCTGGCTCCCAGAAACTTGGCTTTGGGATGTTCTATGTATTGATAAGGTTGCTGTATCACCCTGTCTCTGCTGTACAGAAAATGCGATTTATGGTGAACACCTGCTTTCCTTATGGAAATCTTAAATTTTTATAGTTGTGCCTGTGTAACCAGCCCCCAATAAAATCTTGGAGTCTGAGTCTCAATTATACTTTCCTGTCTAGAAATGGTGTTCGTTTCACTGATAGAAGAAGGAGAGCGCTGTGTGTGGCCCCTTAAGGAGAGTATGGGAAGTCTGTGATGGCATGCCTCCACACTCTTTGCCAGCTGTCTTTATCCCCTTGCTGTGCTGTTTCTGTTGTATATCCTTTCTTGGTACCAATCCACAGCCATGAGTACAACTGCCTATAAGTTTTCCTAATTCTTCCTTCTAGCAAATCACCAAATATGAGGATGGTTGTGGAACCTTCCAACCTATGTAGTGGCAATGGTGTAATTTGTGAGAATGACCTCCCCTTACTGAAACATAACGGGAATGTTGTTTGGGGAAAATAAAGAGAGAAGGGTAGGAATGCTGAAGCCCTGATGCCTGAAAATCTATAGAATCACCAATATATGTAAGAGCAGCTGAATTGTAATTCATTATGAGAGGTCAAAGTTATCAATGAGATTTTAAAATAATAATTCTAATCATTGGGGAATTGGCTCTATGGATCCTTCATTTCCTTTGGCTGATGAGCTAAAGTTGATAAAAATAAAACAAGAAAAAGAAAAGAACAGAAGGAGGCCTAGGACTTCCCAAGATTGTACCTTGAAGACGAGAAAAAGAAATTTAACATTTTCTAATCCCACAATGCCTGTGTATTTACCAGAATTAAGTTAGTATTAAGCTGAAGTCGAATTTTGATGAATAACCTTATAGCACACAATAAGAAAATAACTAAAAAATATGGAAAAAATAAACAAGAATTAAAATGTTGGCTGAGGTGGGAGGATCTCTTGAGCCTGGGAGGCAGAGTTTGCAGTGAGCCATGATTGTGCCACTGCATGGCAGTCTGAGTGATATAGAGTAAAACTGTCTCAAAAAAATTAAAAAAAAGAAAATGTTATACTAGATAGGTGCTTAACCCTACCCTCATATAAATACCTACTTTCAGGGAAATATGACCGAATATAAGTGCTGTTTTTAGACTTTGGAATTATGAAAATATTAATATAAAACAAGTTACATGATTAAAGACAACTGAAATTAAAAATTATACTATAATATATGGACAATATAAAAACAAATTAATCAGCAGTTTTCACCAAATTTTCATAACCTTCAAACAAGACACAAGTTTTTATCCATCCATAACCTTTATATCATTTGAGGATCTTGGCATTATTATTTAAAAAAATAAAATTGTAATTTAATAACCAGAAGAGACCTTTACAACAAGTTCTTCACTTGTAGGTATAGTCAGAGGACATCAGAGAACTGATAATTTGCCTTAAATCAATTTGTCCTATTACACTGCTTTTCCTAGAAAAAAAAATGTACTTCTTGTTTCAAAATAAGACTATTTAAAATGTGTTCATATCTAATTTACTTAAAAATTTTAATTGTTTTACAAAGTTAGTATTTCAGCAGTGAAATTGTCCTTGCCTTAGGTTCTTTGCCAAATGGTTAATCATATGCAAATGCCTTCACCACTACAAATAAAAAAAAAAAAACTTGCTTTTCAAATAATCCTGAGAAATTTTTCATATTGAAAATAATAAAACCTTAGTATTTCATAAAGCTTATTTTATACATTTATATTTTAGAATTAGATTGAAGTAATCTGTCTATATTTAGCATCAAGCAAATGCTTAACACTGGCTGAAACTTAAGTAAAATCTTTAATAAATGACATTAATCTAGAACTCATCAAATTATCTCCAATAATTTATAACATTTTTCACCTTTAAGACCTTTTAAGAACATTAATTAAAACACAAGTTGCCCTTTTGAAAAAAATCTGCATGAACATTCATAACTTGAATTTCATGAGGCAAGATAATTTGGGGATGGTGTAAGAACAGTTTGTGTGAAGATATACTCTGGCTCAAACTCATAATGAAACACCATTCAGAATGTGACAATTTCTTCTCTTACAAATCATGCAATTTCCAGTGTCATCCTTCAGGTAGATGACACTGCTTACTTGGGTTATCACTCATGCAGCTTCCTGCCAAAAAAAGATTGCTTCTTGAGAGTTGTAAAGTTCAAGAGGCTGAACAAAATATAAAGGAGTAAAGGAGAACAGTTTTAGAGTGTTTATGAAGTGTCTCTAGGCCCCTTGGATGCAGTAAGGGTGAGAACTATGCATTTCCATGTAACTCGAGATGAAAATGGACTTTCCTGGTGATCACGAGAAAATATATCAGGGGTAGGGTGGAGTGCTTCTCAGCCATGCCATGCTTACTAACTGTTCAGCTTGCCTAATCAAAATTTGTAGGTTTCAACCTGAAAAAAAGAGATCGTGGAATTATATTTGCATCAAATAGAGTAACTAACAGAATCCATATTTGAAATCCTTAGGAATATCTAAGATTTCAAAATACCACACAGAAACATACTTGCTAGGATACTGTTATCATTACATTTATTACCAGACTGTCAATTAAATATTAAAACTTTAATACATTAGGAAACTTGTGTTGATGGTTTTGTCTTTAAAACAGAATGCAAATGTTGAGATGCAAATATTGACATTAGATGTCATCTAGTCTTAAATCTTATTTTATACATGAGAGTGAGAGTCAGAGAAAGAGAGAGAATAAAGTTGGAGAGGTTAATTGAATTTTTCCAGATGACACAACAAACTCTACAAAGCATGTTTCTCTTATACAGTGTCATGATCTCAGACCAGTCACTGGCATTCATATACTTTTCTTTGGCAATAGAAAAAAATAATATGGCACTTCTACCACATCAGGATTTTCTAAATCCAGTTTAGATAAGACCTGCTTTCACTATATCTCATAAGTTTTGGTATGTTGTATGCATTTGGTTGAAAGTGTACTTCAAGTTCAATATTTCTTTACTGATTTTTCTGTATGGGTGATCTATCCACTGTTGAAAGTGGGGCATTGAAGATTTCTACTATTATTGTATTATAATCTCTCTCTGCTTTTACATCCATTAATATTTCTTCATACATTTAGGTGCTCCAATTTGAGATCATATATATTTATAATTGTTATATTATCTTGTTAAATTGACCTCTTTCTCATTATATAATGACCTTCTTTTTCTCTTTTTAAAGTTTTCAATTCAAAGTCTATTTTATCTGTTACAAGTATAAACACATGTGCTTTCTTTTGGTTTTCACAACCTTTTTCTATCCTTTCATTTTCAGTCCTTAAAGATGAAGCAAGTTTCTTGTATGCAGCATATTGTTAGGTTTTTGAAATGTATCCATCCACTCCATGTCTTTGGTTGAAAGTTCTAATGCATTCACATTCATGGTAATACTTTCTAGGTAAGGACTTACTATTGTCACTTTAACATCTTTTTTTTTTTTAGCTGTTTTGTATATTTTCTGGTTCTTTTTTTCTCTTTATCTTTTATGCATTAACTATAGATGTTTTCTTTTTGTTTACCATTAGGCTTACATAAAACCTCTTATAACAGTTTATTTTAAGCTGATAACAAATTTGATCATATACAAAAACTACACTTTTACTTCCCTTTTCATTTTATGTTTTATGTCAAAATTTACATCTTTTAATATGGTGTATTTCTTAACAAATTATTGTAGCTATAGTCAGTTTTAATAGTTTTATTTTTTAACCATTATACTAGACAGATAAGAGATTTACACACCAGCATTACAGTATTAAGAGTATTCTGAGATTGGTTATATATTAATTTAAACGGTGAGCTTTATACTAGAGAGTTAAGGGATTTACACACCAGCATTACAGTTTTAGAGTATTCTAAGATTGACTACACAGTAATTTTAACAGTGAGTTTTACAATTGCATATACTTTCATGCTACTACTTAGCTCATTTTAGTTTCAGTTTGAATAACTTTCTATAGCATTTTTTGTGAGGCAGATCAAGAAGTGATGAATTCCCTCAGCTTTTGTTTGTCTGGGGAAGTATTTAACTGCCCTTTTTATTTCTGAAGAGCAGATTTTCCACGTAAATACTTTTGGTGGGCAGATATTTTCTTTCAGCGCTTTGACTCTATCATTTCACTTTTTTTCTGGCATGCAAAGTTTCTGCCAAAAAATCTCTGGATAGACTCATATAGGTTCCTTTGTATGTGAGAAAACTTTTTTCTCTTGTTTATTTCAAGATTCTCTCTTTGTCTTTGATTTTTTTTTTTTTTTTTTTTTTTTGAGACAGAGTCTTGCTGTCTCCCAGGCTGGAGTGTAGTGGCGCGATCTCAGCTCACTACAAGCTCCGCCTCCCGGGTTCACACCATTCTCCTGCCTCAGCCTCCCAAATAGCTGGGACTACAGGTGCCCGCCACCACGCCTGGCTAATTTTTTGTATTTTTAGTAGAGATGGGGTTTTACCATGTTAGCCAGGATGGTCTCCATATCCTGACCTTGTGATCCGCCCGCCTTGGCCTCCCAAAGTGCTGGGATTACAGGCGTGAGCCACCATGCCCGGCCTGATTTTTACAGCTTAATTTAAATATGCCTTGGTAGAGTCTTCTTTGGGTTGAACCTGGGATGGGAGACTTTTGAGATGTGAAGTACTTGGATGTTCATGTCTTCCCCCAGATTTCGGAAGATTTCAACTTTTATTTCCTTAAATAAGCTTTCTGTCCCTTTCTCTCTCTTCTCCTTCTCTAACTTCTATGATGTGAGTGTTAGCTTTTTTGAATTTTTTTCATACACCCTGTAGGCTTTCCTCATTCCTTTGCATTCTTTATTTCCCTCCCCTGATTGGATATTTCTAACTGACCTTTCTTCGAGTTTCAAGATTCTTTCTTCTGCTTGATAAATTCTGTTATTATTCTTTCTTCTGTTTTTTAATTTCATGTATTGTATTCTTCCAGTCACAGAATTTCTCTTTGGCTCTTTTTTGTGAATTATATCTCTTGGTTGAACCAATACTTGATTCACTGAATATGCAACAAATTTACAAATTTTTATTTATATTTTACAAAAGGGAAGACACTTATTATCAAAATCGGAAACAAAGGAGTCAAGTTCCTATAATTTTTAAGAGCTTTGTATTTCAAAACGCAAGCTTGATCATCTCTACAAGGGGTTGTGCCTCTGGGACAGAAAGATACTGGGCCAAATAAAATTGAGGATGTGTAGGTCAATACCAGGCATTCACAGGTACTTTTGTTTCCTCACTGGAAAAGCAGTGGGGATGGGGGATCGATGACAAGAACTGATAGCTACTCAGAGGAAGTGTCCTAGTATATTTAGTATATGCCATCAGTTTAGGTAGGATGACATTCTAATTATTTTAGCCATATCTTGTATATATATTTCTTGTTTTCCACAAATTATTATTTAAAAGTCACTTTAAAAATGGTTTCCTTAGCCAGTTTAATCAAAATAATGTTGATATTCCTATTGACATTGTACTGTTGTGCTTTAACTATTTTACTTTCCACAGAAAGAAACTCAACTCAAAGTTGATAAATTGGAAGAAATATGAAATTACAATCTCTTCAAATTCTCCCAGAAATGGTTTCCTGGAGAATGGAATGACAAATAAACTTTTTAATAAGTGATTTAAAGCAACTTGTACCATCAAGAAAAAGTTAATGTGTTAGCACAAAGCATTAAGGAACTTCAAAGGTGAAGCCCTAGTTAACTTCAAAACCTCCGGTTTAACTTTTTTCCAAGGAATTTAAAATAAATCTGTTAACTGGCAGAAGGTAATTAGTTCCTAAGCTCAAATGTCTTTGCCCATCAAAGGACAGATTCTTCCTTAGAATCTATGTGGTAGCCAAATGGTACAGAAGGAGATAAGAATAAAAGTAAAGACTTAATTAAGTTTCTCCAAGAGCTTCTTTAAACATTCATATTTCTTTCACTACATGATGTGGTTCAGCCCCACCCAAATTTCGCCTTGAATTGTAATAATCGCCACATGTCAAGGGAGGGACATGATAGGAGGTGACTGGATCATGGTGGCAGTTTTCCCCATGCCGTTCTCCTGATAGTGAGTGAGTTCTCATGGGATCTGATGGTTTAAAAGTGTGGCACTTCTCTTTGCTCTCACTCTCCTGCCATCATGTAAGATATGCCTTGTTTCCATTTCACCTTCTGCCATGATTGTAAGTTTCCTGAGGTCTCCCAGTCATGCTTCCTGTTAAGCCTGTGGAACTCTGAGTCAATTAAGCCTCTTTTCTTCATAAGTCACCCAGTCTCAGGTAGTTCTTTATAGCAGTGTGAAAACGGACTGATATACCACATACTGTACTATTGTGTGAGTATAGTAATGGCAAATTCCTATGTTATATGCAGGGTAAATGGAAGGAGACTGCTGAGAGAGGGGAAGTGAAGCCACAGATATGCTACTTGAGTTTTACAACTAGGGTCAAAATCGAAAATATCTTTCCAGCCACACAGAACCTACTCTCAAAATTTAAAGCCATCCATGATTTCACAAATTGAAAGTACACTTTACCAATAGAGAAAAGGCAAGCGTAGGGAGCTCAGGACTTGAAGATTGTGAGCACTTCAGAGCCAGGTTTTATATTATGCAAAATTTTATAACCCCAGCATTCATTAAATATTACTTGGCTAAATTAATACATGAATGAGTATATAAATAAATAAATAAAAGAGAAGGATCATGCTTTATGGGGTAAAATTTTATTTCCTCCTCATTTATATTCAAATTTTAATCATGATCTTAAAATTCATCATTCTCTAATTTTATCTCATTAAAGTGATATTAATACCATTTTAAATACATATATGAATGCATACATGCATACATACATGTTTATAATAAGCATTCTTCACTAACTTTTTTCTCTATGCATGTATTTACCCATTTTTTTTTTGGTCCTACTAGTCAGATGAAAATGAAAAACTCATTCTGAATGTTCAAAAATAATCAAATGCAAGCAACTGCTTGGATTGTTTAAGTATTAATATCTAGAACTAAACATTTGGTCTGTATTTCTGTATTTAGCATCTTTGACTCAGTCCACTGAACAAGAAGTTCTTGCTGTACATTTTGTGACCAATTTCTTTGACTGTTGTGAGCACATGTTTGCATTGACCTTGATCTTTTATTCTTGGCACCTTCTAAATGTCACCAAATTGGCTGGTATTGATAAGAAAAAAAAAAGAGCCCAATCATTTAAAACAGTCATTCATGTGATTCTTATGATATTAAATTGGGAATTTTGTGAGCACTTTAGTTAAGGTTAATGCATCTGAGTGTTCCTTATTTTTGGCTTGTAGAATAAAACTGCAATTCAAATCCATAATTTATTAAATTTAGTTAAAAATAAAAAAAACTTTAAAACAAAAATTTTTTGACATTCATAGCAAACCTGATCTCAACTGATATGTCCTTAGTAGTTCAAGTAGTTAAATATTCATATATTTTGCTACACAAATATTACTGTATTTGATTTTGGGGCATTGCCCCAGATCCCACTGTGATGTTACATAGTACATGTATATGCAGTGTATTATGTTTCCAAAATATTTTTTAAAAGCCCTCTAAATTCTATAATACATGTAGTATAAAGAGTTTTAGACAAGTCGTAATAAAACTGTGGGCCATACAACAGTTATTTTTCCTGTTGATTTTTTTTAAAAACCCATTTTGATGAAGCTAGAAGCCTAGCCATAGCTTTGGGTTTCCAGGATCATGCTGATTGACTATTCTTTCAGCTATATCTGATGTTTTGGGATTATATAGACAAGGCTTTGAAACGTATGAATAGAGACAAGCAGGATGGTCATAAAGAAACCCTGGAAGTTAGGTTGCATAGCAATCAGTTGACTGGAGATTGGTAATTTTTCTTTCTCTAAAAATCCAAGGGGAGAGTTTACACCTGAGATCACCTTTTTAGAAGACTGTGGACAGTGGTAGACTCTTTGCTTGCACAGCTGATCTTAATTTCATGCAAGGTCATTATATTGAAGCTCAACTTTATTCAAGCCCCTCAAATTTTAATGCATAGCTGACCTTTATACCCCAGTATCCTGGTGTCTAAACCTTGCTCTGTTTGACTCATATGCATAAGTCATTTCCAACACTTGAATTATAAGGAAGCTGAATGAGAAAAATAAATAGTAAGAAATAGTTCCCCTTACTGGGACTCTAAACTCTAAACACCTACATGTCCAGCAACATAGACCAGACACAGGTTTATTCCAGGAACTAGAAGGAGGAGCAGGGGATCCATTCACCTGAAATAGAGCACTCATAGGAGCCCTAATTAAGCACCACAATGAATAATTTGATTGGATTGTTTTTTAATCTTCCTTGAGCTGTTTTTATTGTTGTTGTTATTGTTGTTATCAGTACTATCCTATTTAAATGTTTGGAGGCAGTGAAGAATAAAAGATCAGTGTCAGTGCTAAGAAGGCCTGTAGCTTGCCAAAGAATCTAGTCACAAATAAACAGCAAGAACTTCTTCAGATAACCTGGTCATAGACATAAAATAACAAGTAATCGTGTGCCTTCTCTTTACACTATGTGATTTTTTCCCAATAAAACCTGTTTACACAATACATATTGTGAATTGAAAACCCCATGTGGGTTTATTATGCCAAATCAAGATATTCAGTCCCTTTAGTTTTCTTCCATAAATCATAATTTAGTAAATAAATATACAATTGATATATGAGCCTATAAAATTACATATGCATGTTATATTTTAAGAAAAATACTGTCATATTATTATATCTGTATCTTCAAACAAATGTTCACTTTTAGATATCAGGTTAGGAATTTATTCTGCTTATATGTAAAACTTTTAAAAACTTGTTTAAAGAAATGCCTATTGTATTGTTTTATGAACCATAGAACTCTAGTACCATTACTTCATAGTTGCACTTACTTTTGTAATGGTACTACCATGTTTATCATCCAGATTATGATTCAGCCATTAATTTTGATGAAAAATCAAATTTCCTACAAGATGAAGAATATGTCCTCACCAAGAGTATACTTAAGAAAATGTTATAGGCTTACGGCATTTCCCAAAGTAGACCAGTACCAATACCCTGTGGTAATTTAATGAATATACTCTTTATCAACTACGTAAATGCAATAACAGATTCTTCCTCGTTATTGCTAATCAGAATTTCTCCTGTTACTGCTTTAGGAGTTGCTTTCATGACAGAACCAGAAAACTACCTACCAGCTTTGCAATAAAAAATGTAGTCCTCACCTCTCATTCATTTCAGTCCCCTGCCAAAAGCTGTGGAAGCAACCTTGCTACTGAGCCAGAGTCTGAACTTCTCTTCCCTACTTTCCCTTATCCCTGTCAGCATTAGAAGGTTAGCCAGGCTACATTTGCCTATGTAAGACTGAGCCCCTACAAGGTCGTAGTTGAACATTTTTCCCTCAGATCTTTATTTGAATCTCTAGATGTACAAACTTTCAAGGGAAAGACCATTTACTTAATTCTGCACACTAGGTATATTTAAATCTTAGATCTAATCCAACCGTAAATCTTAAATTTATAGGATTTATGATAAACTTCCTAAAATTATAGGAATCTCCTTGTAAGGCAATGTTCTAAGTGTTTTAACCCTATTACCATATTTAATAGTCAAAACAATGCTTTATAGAAATATCAAAATACTCAGATAAGAAAACTAAAAAACAGAGAGTTGAACTTACAGCTAGTTAAATGGCAGAGACACAATTTAAAATCCAGTATTCAAGCTCTAGAATATATACTTGTAATCACTACACTATGCTAACTTACAATACATATAAATTGTTATTACAACAAAAAATATAATGAACAATGTAGTAGCCATTTTGATGCCCCCAAAATAATTCCACCTGTATATCTTCCAGGAATAAGGGTAGGATTGCATTTTCTGGCTCCTTTGTAAGTATGTGCTGGTTCCATGTAATTCTGGTAAATAAATTCTGTATATTGTTTCCAATAATATGTAATTGCCTGTGTGAGACTGACATAGAGAAGGATATAGTTTACATGGCAGTTCTCCATCTGTTTGGGTTCCTTACCAACTACAATGAGTAGAGGTATCTGTCAGTCTATGAAGGAAATATACTTGAACAAAAATCAAAATTATATTGCTTTGAGGCACATACATTTGAGAACCGCTTATTAAAAACAAACAGTAAAATTAAAACACATTACACGTTTCTAATACAAGTGTAGCAAAAAGTTGTAAACAAAACATGCTAAGAAAAAAATGTTAATCATTCTACAAACTTTCATCAGCATAAAATAAAACAAATATTTTTATAATACATCATTTTATACTTATTTCATAATTTCATGTGTCTCAGTACCATTTGTTAACATCATTTGCTGACAAGTAATTTCTTGCTTTCTTCACCATTGTTAAGTAAAAATTAAAGTGCATAATGACAAAAGACTAGCAAAACAAAATAGGTATGCAGTTTACTACCAGCGGCCTAGCTCATTTAAAACAACAAAATTTTCATCCCAAAATAACTTAATCCATCAAGTAGATATTAGCCACTCACTATATGCCTATTTCTACTGGTCTGGTAATTAGGACAGATATTTTAAATTATTTTTTAAAGTAGCCAGATAATTTTAAGATGTTCTAGATTATATTTTATATATGAACTTTAGATAGGACACCTCTAAGATTGGAATAACAGTTTCTTGAGCCAACAAATGTATCACTACTAATCAATATGTCCTTATCTTTTGAAATCTTCTAGTGCTCACTTTGGCAGCACATACACTAAAATTAGAAAGATGCAGAGAAGATTAGCATGCCCCCTGCACAAGGATGACATGCAAATTCATGAAGTGTTCCATATTTTTTACAAACTCCTGGACACATACACCCTCCCAAGACTGAACCAAGGAGAAATTTAATCTCTAAACAGACCAATAATAGCTCTGAAATTGAACCAGTAATAAATACCCTACCAACCAAAAAAAGCCTAAGACCAGATGGATTCACAGCCAAATTCTACCAGATGTACACAAAAGAGCTTGTACCATTGCTACTAAAATTATTCCAAAAAATTGAGGAGGAAGGCCTTCTCCCCAACTCATTCTATGAGGCCAGTATCATCATGATATGAAAACCTGACAGAGACACAAACACAAAAAGAAATCTTTAGGTCAATATCCTTGATGAATACTGATGCAAAAATCCTCAACAAAATGCAGGCAAACTGAATCCAGCAGCACATCAAAAAACTTATACACCATAATCAAGTAGGCTTTATCCCTGGGATGCAAGATTAATTGAACATACGCAAATCAATGAATGAGATTCATCACATAAATAAATAGAACTAAAGACAAAAGCCACATGATTATCTCAATAGATGTAGAAAAGGCTTTCGGTAAAATTCAACATGCCTTCAAGTTAAAAACTCCTAAGAAACTGGCCGGGCGCAGTGGCTAATGCCTGTGATCCCAGCACTTTGGAAGGCTGAAGCGGATGGATCACTTAAGTCCAGGAGTAAGAGACCACCCTGGACAACATGGTGAAACCCCATCTCTACTAAAAATACAATAACAATAATAATAATAACAACAGGCCATGGGGGCGTGCACCAGTAGTCCCAGCTACTCAGGAGACTGAGGCATGAGAATCACTTGAACCCAGGAGGCAGAGGATGCAGTTAGCCAAGATCTCACCACTGTACTCTAGGCTGGGCAACAGAGTGAGACTCTATCGCCAAAAACCAAAAACAACACAAAACAAAAACAAAACTGTCAACAAACTGGGTATTGAAGGAACATACCTCAAAATAATAAGAGCCAT